>NC_000001.11:53947774-54099289 GCF_000001405.40 Homo sapiens
CCCCTCCCCCCAGGCTTCATCCAGTGAATACTAGAGGGATCGAACAGGTGGGTGAGATTAATTTTTCACATTTTTTTTATCCTTAAGGTTGATGTCATATTTTTAGTCTTGAGAAACAGCATCATGCCAAGGAAAGAGCTTGAGCTTTGGAGTAATGCGGCCCTGAGATTGAATTCTGGCTCTGCCACTTATTAGCTCTGTTCTAGAGTAAGTTATTTTATTTCCGTGGGTCTCTTTGTCTATTAAAAGGCAATACTGACCTCATAGGATCATTAAAGATTACATGAGATCATTTTATATAGTACCTAACACAGTGCTTGGCAACTGGTAGGTGCTTAATAAATGGTAGCCATCATCCAGTATCATTAAACATCATAGTTACTGCTACAACTTGTTATTCTTAGGGGATTTTTATCTTACTTTATCTACTGAAGTTAGATATTTTCTTCTTCTTCTCTTCAAATTAGCCGTAGATTCAGCTCACAATTTTACCCTGTGGGCTCCCTGACAATCCCAGTCCACCTGACTGGCATAGTCATGCTTTTTGCTTGGGAAACTGGATTCAAGGTCTAAAAAACTGTCATGTGTAGTTATCAATAATTTTGTCTGGCCTTTTTCAAGAAAGCTGTATAGAACTGAGTTTTTAATGTAATACAGCTGTGTTTCATTCATTTGATGAAATGGTACACTTCGTGGTAACTTTGGCTCGCTTGTGGTGACCAAATGCTAGAACATACATGATTGTAATATTTTTCTATGCTGTCGTATGGGTTACAAAGCTGCCTTCCTGTAGCAGGCTGGGAAACTATCAAAATGTCGCTGTTACTCTTGATCCAATATATAATACAGCTACTACGATCTACATTGGGCATTGTTATTGTTGTAGTGACTAAGTATTTTAATTTTTCAATTTGGATGGAGTTTTCACCATGGTTTAGAACAGGCCCTGTCTCCTGACCAGGTCCATTTGTAATACACCACCCAGTACAATAGTGAGGGACAAATGAACCCAAGTAGTGAAGTTTTGTGTAGAATTCTCTTGCCTTTCTGGTTCTTAGCCTTGAAGGGTTCAAATGTTAATTTAATGCTTAGGTCATGTTACATACCTCATAGACTCAGGAAGATCCTTTTTGGGAGAATGCAGGATGTGCTGATTTAGTAGTAGAAATTAAAGGACGCCAGGATTCCCAAACCAAAGTCAATTCCTCCAGTGGCTTCTGGACAAATGATGTGGGTTTACTCTCCAGGAAAAAATTGTATTTATTTTTTCCTCATTTAGAAAGATAAGTGGTATTTGGTGGGTAATCTAAAGAAAAACAAACAAACAAAAAAACAACCAGAACTGTGCCTTTTTTTTGAAAATGATCCCTGGAAGCCAAAGCAGCCAGGATTTTGAGGAGCCCAGGTTAGGGTCCTTACTCTAGCCCCAAGCTGCTTGTGCCCTCTGCTGGATGGAATCAGACTTCTAGTTTTCATCTGAAGTGGTCACCCACCCACCCCATCCATCCATCCATTTGTCCATTTTACAACAGTGTTTGTGGAAGGCACTGTTAGGGGTGAGGGTTGGGGGCAATACAGATGGGCAGACCCTGTGTCATTGCTCAGGGAGTTCACAGTGTATTCATCCACTATAATAGGGTATGTTCCATAGAATTTGTCTTTCTGTTGTTAAAATCACGTCAGTCCTTTTTAGGGCCATACCTAGCGTCTGCTTTCTGATCTACAAGTAGAGTGGAGCTCTGAATGTTAAATGACAGGGATAAAGACCAAAGGACATCTGCCGTAATTCCTCAGTCAAAATTAAGGTCTGCAAGGTTGGAGGGTCCAGATGCTCACCCCTACTGGAGGAACAGCTCAGAATAAATGAGGTGTCTCCTTAGCAGCAGGGGCTGTAAATGCTGGCAAGAGAAAAGTATGGGTTATAAGAGCTGGCACTGTGACAGGATTTTTTTCCCCTGTTTTTTAGTTTAGTTGTCTCCCACCCCTTGTAGTACCAGTAGCAATATATTCCCATCGTCTGCTTTGCCTCTGCCACCTGCAGAAGGGTCTGGCAAGTGGGGGAGGAGCCTGCAGCTGTTGCCTGGAAAAGGAGCTGGCTCCTAGCAACAGTATCAGCAGGCCCTACAACTGAGAGCACCAAGTTTGTCCTTTGAGGTCTTACCCTTCCTTTCATACAGTTCAGCAAATATCTTTTGAGGGCTTACTTAGTACTAGGCACTATGTCAAGCCTGAGAAAGATAGATGAATCAAATAAGTACCTTGCCTTCAAAAAGCTCACCACTCTGGGTACATTAACAAGTGAACAGACATAGTACATGGTCCTAAGTGCTATGTAGGAGAGACTGGGTGCTCTGGGAAAACCAGACAGGCACGTACTGGTGCAGGGGTTAGGGAAGGTTTCCCAGAAGAGGGACGAAGTTAATGATGAGTAGGAATTAGCTAGGTCAGGTAGGCAGAGAAGGATGTTCCAGCCAAAGGGAACAGAACGAGCAATGGCCAGTGGGACATGAGAGCATGGCCAGTTTACCTGGGTAGTATGACAGGGCCAAAGAGTAGGACATAAGGAGATGAGCAGGAAAGGGTGAGGCTCTAGGGCTAGGCAGAGTACTCTTCTCTCATGTGCTTTTATACACATAATTATCCTTGAGAGAAACATGGATAGTACTGATTCCCACACACAGGTTCATTGTTTCATCTCCAGAGACTCAGCATTTTTGATCACGGACCTAATTGTGTGCTGACACTCATAAGTGCCTTCAGGGCCACATTGTGGCCCCACATTGATGCAGAAGAAGCTGAGTTGGTTCACTCTAAAACTCAATCAGATTATTTTAGGGATATTATCAGGCATGTATGATATTCTACCTCTCTTCTCCCTTTAAATTGTAGAAATAATCCTCAAATACCTTCATTTTATGTAACATAGCAATTTTTCATGTATTTTGAAATCTCATGGTTACTCAGGAGGAAAACAAGTATTCCAGTTAGTTCTTGGGCATATATTATTACCCACATGACTGCAGAAATGCCCAACTGTTTGACTTTTTTATGTTAAAACTGCCCTAATAGAACTTTAATAGATACGAAGTTTCCAAAGGCTAGAATAGTTTTTATGTAGCTCTTGTAATGGAGGTATTTATTTGTAGATAAAAAAAATCCTGTTGCTTTTGGTCTTTGTAAAGTTTAGCAAACGAGTAAATGTTGGTTCCACACTATCTGCTCGGGGACTATAAGATGCCAGGACACTGTGTTATAGAGTCTGCATGAATTCAGCGTGGTTCCTTTTCTCAAGGAGCCCAAAGCAGCAGATGGCAGACTCAGAAACAAATAAATACAACAGTGCACCGAGTGCAACCAAGAAGTGTGTGGAATGTGTCAAGCTAGCAAGGGAGTTATTTATTTCTAGTCTTTTTTCTGTGTCTAAACATGTTTTTTAAAAATTCATAATTTTAATGGCTTTATCACATTCCATGGTACGTGTAAGTCATAATGTATTTATTAACATCCCAATTGTTAGACATTTAGGTCGTTTTCCAATTGTTTTGCTAATATAAACTTGCTGCCATTAATTTACACATAAATGAATCTTTGCTGACATCTGTGACAACTTCCTTAGCATGAATTTTGAAGATGAGATTTTGACCTGGGTTTCTGTTTGTTTTTTTTTGAGACGGAGTCTCGCTCTTGTCACCCAGGCTGGAGTGCAATGAAACAATCTTGGCTCACTGTAACCTCTGTCTCCCGGGTTCAAGCGATTCTCTTGCCTCAGCCTCCTGAGTAGCTGGAACTACAGGCACGCACTACCACGCTCGGCTAATTTTTGTATTTTTAGTAGAGATGGGGTTTCACCATGTTGGCCAGGCTGGTCTCGAACTCCTGACCTCAGGTGATCCGCCCGCCTCGGCCTCCCAAAGTGCTGAGATTACAGGCGTGAGCTAATGCGTCCGGCCTTGACCTGGGTTTTGAAAGAAGAGTGGGAGATGGCCAGATAAACAAGAAAAAGGGAAGAGTAGGAAGGGGCATTCCAGGTAGCGGCAATAGAGGCAACCTTGAATGCCAAAGTTCCCAGGCAACTGGTGAGTTTTGCTTTTCCTAAACCAGCCACCAGGCCTGCCTGGTAGGCTCATAAAGCCCTGGGCACAGCAAGATGAAGTTACATGTTACAAATGGCATTTTAATTGGATTTGCTTCCCTGTGCCTTGCTTTTACAGTTGCAACCAAGGCAATGTCTTACTACCTCAGCTCAGAAAACCACCTGGACCCAGGGCCCATCTACATGCGAGAAAATGGGCAGCTGCACATGGTCAATCTGGCTCTGGATGGTGTCAGGAGTAGCCTGCAGAAGCCAAGGCCTTTCAGACTGTTCCCCAAAGGCTTTTCTGTGGAGCTTTGCATGAACAGGGAAGACGACACTGCACGGAAAGAGAAGACTGATCATTTCATCTTCACATACACCCGAGAGGGGAATCTTCGGTACTCCGCCAAATCCCTCTTCAGCCTTGTCCTGGGTTTCATCTCCGACAATGTGGATCACATTGATTCCCTTATTGGCTTTCCTGAGCAGATTGCTGAAAAGCTGTTCTCTGCTGCTGAAGCCAGACAGAAATTCACTGAGCCAGGTGCAGGGCTGAGGGCTTTACAGAAATTCACTGAGGCCTATGGAAGTTTGGTGCTTTGCTCCCTGTGTTTGCGAAACAGGTGGGTGTTCTGATTAGATTATTCGGTATTTTATTGGGTGTGTTAATTCTGTCAAGCTCTGGGGCTTAGTGGGCTCAGGGGCTTCCCTCATCAAATAGCACTTCAGTTTAGAACTTCCAAATATGAAGTAAAAGACCATATTGAAAAAAATCACTCTTCCTTCTCCTCACCTCTTAGATGACACTTAACTTTATTCTGAAATCATTTTACAAGGATTAGTTGTCACAGCTCCTCCATTAAGTAGAAAATATTATTCTAACAGCTTTCAAAGAGAAAATAGAAAAGACAAAATGTGATCTGCCAAATATCTCTTGATACGCTCTTACAGATGGGGAGATTAGTACCCAGAGTTTTTGGGCCTGTTTTTGGTTTTCAGACCACTAGATACTGACCATTAGATAAAAAGTGACCTTAAAAGATTGGGTGATTAAAATTTCAAATATCCTAAAGTTTGGCAGTTCTCAAAGTCCCAACACTAAGGTCTGTGGTCTTAACAAAGCAGATATTTTCTCTTGTGACTGCCTTTGCTCATATGCTTTATTTAAAATTTTTACTTTACCGTCATGTAAAAACACTTTCAAAACATCTAATTTTTTAAAAAACTTGCAAAAACAATAAAACTATACATGGCAAACAATTTAAACACAAACACAAAGTGGCATAAAATGAAACATAAGCCTTCTTCCTATCTCATCTCCAGTTTCCTCTCTCCAGAGACCAAATGCTGTTACCAGTTTTTAAAATACCATTCCAGAGATATTCTATACACATACATGCTTATGTAGTTCCCGTCTTTGTTATACAGATGGCAGCATGCTGCATACACTCTTATGGACCTTGCTTTCTTCACATAATTTGAAAATCATTTATCATCAATACTTGTAGATTTTTTTTTGTTTTTTTTGAGACAGAGTCTTGCTCTGTCGCCAGGCTGGAGTGGCAGTGGCACGATCTCAGCTCTCACTGCAACCTCCAACTGCCTGGTTCAAGCAATTCGCCTGCCTCAGCCTCCCGAGTAGCTGGGATTACAGGCATATGCCACCATGCCCAGCTAATTTTTGTATTTTTAGTAGAGACGGGATTTCACCATGTTGGCCAGGATGGTGTCGATCTCCTGACCTCATGATCCTCCCGCCTCAGCCTCCTAAAGTGCTGGGATTACAGGCGTGAGCCACCACGCCTGGCCTACTTGTAGGTTTTTAAAATAGCTTTATTGTATACCACTGTATGAACTATTCTGTGATTAGACCTGAAAGGTAGCTTACTTTTTTTTTTTTTGAGACGGAATTTTCCTCGTTTCCCAGGCTGGAGTGCAATGGCGCGATCTCAGCTCACTGCAACCTCCACCTCCCAGGTTCAGGCAATTCTCCTGACTCAGCCTCCTAAGTAGCTGGGATTACAGGTGCCCACCACCATGCCTGGCTAATTTTGTGTCTTTTTAGTAGATACGGGGTTTCACCACGTTGGCCAGGCTTATCTCGAACTCCTGACCTCAGGTGATCCACCGGCCTCAGCCTCCCAAAGTGCTGGGATTACAGGCATGAGCCCCCATGCCCAGCCGGCAGCTTACTATTAAGACGCACAATCTGCATGAGCATTATAACAAGGGCTGAACAAAAAATGTATATAAGAGAAAGCCATATCAGAAAACAGGAGGTAAGCTCGTATGCTTAATAAAGGAGAAATGATCTTTATTTAATCAGCTCATAGAATTAATGGTTTCACCACAGGCCAAATACTGTATTTTAAAAAGAAAAGACATAAACACATGCAGAAAAGAATAGAAACTTGGCTCATAAACTGAGCAGGCACCTTGAAAGCTCTGTCTCTGGGCTATGGTCTCAGTCATGGCTGGACTTGGGACTGCTGCCAGTGGAAAGGAAAAAAATTACCTTGCCTAAATGAAAAAGTCAAGCAATATTTCATTGTGGCTTATGCATTTAAAATACGTTTTACCCTTCATTTTTTCTTCCAAGTTGTTTATGTTCATTGTAGAAAAGTTAGAACAATGGCAAAATAGACTTATGATGTATATCTTGTTTTAAAATTAGCAATACATGCTATTTGGGGAATGCATAAAATTGTAGTATTAAAAAATCCATAATCCCACCATGATGATCATTTTCAAATATATTATTTTTATACATTTGGGAATATATACTTTGTACAACTCGTATTCTGTTTTTTCCCCCACCTACCCTTATAGCTTAATATTTGCCATGCTGTTGAAAACGCCGTTTATCCATTTGCGATGTCTGGATACTGTTGTAGTGGTAGATTGGTCAGATTGGGATGAGAATAGCACTTTTCATTCACATTTGATGAGGACATAAATTAGTGTAGCATTTCTGGAAGCAGTTTAGCAATATGTATCAAGAACCTTGAAAACATCCATACTATTTGTTTGACCCATTAATTCTACTTACTAAGAATCTATTCTGATCCCTAATGTAATAATCAAAGATGGGAACAGATATTTTTACATAAGAGTGTTCATTGTAGTACTGTTTGTACAAGTGAAAATCTAAAAACTAAATGTTCAACAGTAGGGAGTTGGTTAAGCAAATTATAGTATATTTATATGATGAAATATTATGTAACTATTAAGATAATATTTTAAGAAACAGATTTTTTAAATGTATGTATTGGACAGATAGAAGGAAAAAAGAAATCTACCAAAAAGCGGTCTAGATGGTGGGATTGGAATTGATTTTATATTCTTTATACTTTCCTATATTTTCTTAATTTTTTTCCAATGAAAGTGATACATTATCAGAAAATGTAAGAAACATTTACATTTATATAATAATCAGAAAATATAGGAAACTTTTTTTTTCTTTCTGAGACAAGGTTTCACTCTGTTGCTCAGGCTTGAGTGCAGTGGCGTGATCTTGGCTCACTGCAGCCTCCGCCTCCCAGGTTCAGGTGATTCTCCCACCTCAGCCTCCCGAGTAGCCAGGACTACAGGCGCCCGCCACCGTGCCCAGCTAATTTTTGTATTTTTTGGTAGAGATAGGGTTTCACCATGTTGACCAGGCTGGTTTCGAACTGCTGACCTCAAGTGATCCACCCACCTCAGCCTTCCAAAGTGCTGGGATTACAAGCGTGAGCGACCATGCCCAGCCAGAAAATATAGGAAACAATTTTAACATAATCTTTTTTTTTTTTTTTTTTGAGACGGAGTCTCGCTCTGTCACCCAGGCTGGAGTGCAGTGGCTCGATCTCAGCTCACTGCAAGCTCCACCTCCCGGGTTCACGCAATTCTCCTGCCTCAGCCTCCCGAGTAGCTGGGACTACAGGTGCCCACCACCACGCCCGGCTGATTTTTTGTATTTTTAGTAGAGATGGGGTTTCACCATGTTAGCCAGGATGGTCTCGATCTCCTGACCTTGTGATCCACCCGCCTCGGCCTCCCAAAGTGCTGGGATTACAGGCGTGAGCCACCGCGCCCGGCCAACATAATCTTTTAGCCCATATTTTATTGCAGCAATTCCACACTTGACTGTCTCATTCAAATGTAAGACTTTCAGTTGTTATCAAAAACCTCTCTTCTCCTTTTGAATCCTTAAAGGCAAATAGAGGGCAGGAAACTTGAGGTTGCATTTGCAATCCAGGGCTGTAGCTGCAGTCCAAGAGGTTTTGTCAGCACAAAGGGGTTCAGGTCAAAAGTAATGAGCTTGAAAAAATAAATGAAAATAAAATAACTGGGTAGGTGCAGGCACTTGCTATCTTGGGGTTAAGTCACAAAGCTACCTGCCAGAAGCAAGTGTCTTTGCAACTGAATTCCAACCTTACGAAAACTCTCTTCTCCCTTGTGTTGAAACCCCAGTGATTTTTAATCCCACTGGTGGTAACAGGGAGGCAAGTATGTTTTCCTTAAAATATCACTTTTTGTTGTTGACATAATAGTAATAGCTACTATTTCATGAGGTCTTGCAAGATGCCATGGAATTTTAAAATATTGTTTCTCTTTTTCTTAATCATCCTGAAAAGAATTTTGTAGCCCCATTTTGTAGCTGGAGAAATTGAGGCTCAGAAAGGTTAAGTAACTGTCTCACAATCACACAAGTAATTGGGCTGTTAGAATCCAAACTCAGGTCTGGTCTGTGCTCTTTCTATTGCTTTTCCACTGTACTGTTCCGAACCCTTTAAGGGAAAATTTGGAAGACTGGTTGCAAGCAAGAACCTAGAGCTTTGATTATGTCCTAGATTAGCACCTAGTAATGTCTGTGGCCTAACATGTTTGTTCCTCAACCTTGAGTTTCGTAATGTTTCTTAATCACATTACACAGTGTTATGTCCTTTGCAGAGAACCCTTGTTTCAGAATTACTAAAAATCTTTTGGTTAATTGATCAAAGTATATGTGTTTTCCTTTCTCTGATTGCCAGTAATCCTCTAAATCCCCATTAACACACTTCAACTCTGTGATTGGAAGGTGGAAAACAGCAGCTTTATTTACAATGCAATTAAAATACATCTGAGTAAATAAGGCTCTTTTGTGTACCCAGCTGAGCTCGGTCTCCAGGCACCTTAGGTTCCACCCTTTAAGGGGGTATCAGTGCCTCAGACCATCTGTACCTAGCTGTCAGGCTGGTGATTAGTTTGAGTACATCTTTTTTTGGTTGGAAGTAGGAAGAAAAGAGATTAACTCCTCTCTTGCCCTCTGATTATTCCATCCTGTTTTTGGCAGTTGTGATCCTGCTGATGGAAGAGAGGTATGTACTCTTTTAGGTGTAACCCCACTGATCCTAACACACCATCTTGCTGTGGAAACTTCCAGACATTCAAGAGGAAGGTGGATGAGAGAGGCCTGCTCTTGCCACAAGTCAGTTTCCCTGTCCTCTTAGGTTCCTCTCCTCTCCATTTCCTGTCACACCTAATCCCTTTCATTTTTTCTCACTGACCTCATCTGAGATAGATGAACCACTAGAAAGCAGGGTGGAGGCCCCAGCCTGGGCTGTGGAATGCTGTTTTGATCTCCTTTCCCTCTCCAGAGGCTTCCCTGATGCTTCCTGATAACAACTTGGCAAGGTGCTGCAATGTAATTAAGTTGCTCGTGCTCAGGGTTTGTCTTAATATCCATCTAGACTGGAGTGAGTCCTTGTAGCAGTCTTGCTGTACATACTTTTGGAGTAAAGTTAGGATAACAGGCACAGGGGAGTGTTCAGGAAAGATAAAATGTGATGTGCCAAATATCTCTTGGTATGTTCTTGGGGACATGCAGATTGGAAACGAGAGTTCTTGACCTTGCTCCAGTTTTCAAATCACTGGATGTTGAGCATTAGATTAAAAGCAACTTTAAAAGAATTAGTAATTAAAAATTCGAGTATCCTAAAGTTTGGAAATTCTCAGGTAAGGTCCCAACACCAATGCCAAGGTCTGCCTGATAACAAAGCAGGTGTTTCACTTGTGACTTTCCTTTGCTAATATACATTTATTTATTTATTTATTTATTTATTCAAAATTTTTATTCTACCATCACATAAAAAGATGTTCAAGGCATTTACTAATTAAAAAATTCAGCCTTTGCCCTGATAGTAATTAGTGAAGTCTGCTTATTCCATAGTACTGTGTCCTGATGGGATGGTAGGATATTGACTATGATACAAATCCACAAATGGTAATGCTTTAAGAGTAGTGAGGGGAAGCTATTGATTGCTCTCCACGCTCCGTAGGTATCTCGTGATTTCAGAAAAGCTTGAGGAGATTAAGTCTTTCCGGGAGCTGACCTGCCTGGATCTTTCCTGTTGCAAGCTTGGAGATGAGCATGAACTTCTAGAACATCTCACCAATGAAGCCCTGTCTAGGTACTGACCTGTCACCACTTGCAGATGAATTGTTTCAGTATTGTTTTAAAGGCTGATCCAACAGGATTATCTTCAGGAATGCTGATTACTTCCCATTCTTATGTTGATTTGCTTTTTTTTCCTAAAACATTTTCAATCTCCATTTACTTGGTATAAGCAATATAGATTAGACAACCCTTAGAAAGTCAGTCAGTTGACTCAAGTCAGTTAGTTGACTCTTTTTTTCTAAGTAACTTTTATTTTAATATGTAATACTTGAAGCTACGTAGGTTAAAAAGTGGTTTTGCCCCTTATTTATTTATTTTTATTTTTATTTTTTTTGGAGACAAAAGTTTCGTTTTTGCCACCCAGGCTGGAGTGCAATGGCACGATCTCAGCTCACCGCAACCTCCACCTCCCAGGTTCAAGCAATTCTCCTGCGTCAGCCTCCCAAGTAGCTGGGATTACAGGCATGCACCACCACGCCCAGCTAATTTTGTATTTTTAGTAGAGACGGGGTTTCTCCGTGTTGGTCAGGCTGGTCTCGAGGTCCTGACCTCAGGTGATCCTCCCGCCTCAGCCTCCCAAAGTGCTGGGATTACAGGCGTCAGCCACTGCGCCTGGCCCTATTTATTTATTTCTTTAGACGGAGTCTTGCTCTTGTTGTCCAGGCTGGAGTGCAGTGGCGTGATCTTGGCCCACTGCAACCTCCACCTCCAGGTTCAAGCTATTCTCATGCCTCAGCCTCCTGATAGCTGGGATTATAGGCGCCCCCCACCACGCCGGCTAATTTTTGTACTTTTAGTAGAGACGGGGGTTTTGCCATGTTGGCCAGGTTGGTCTCGAACTTCTGACCTCAGGTGATCCACCCACCTTGGGTTTTGCCCTTTATTTATCCAGTCCTAGTTTATTCTAGCAAGGGATGAGACATTATACCATAGTCAACAATCATTATCGTTTGCTACTTTAACTATCAATGAGCTACAATTATAAAGAAAATGAACTATTAAAGACAGCCAAAGAAATTCTTTTCAGGAGTCATGATTTAAAGAAATGGCCCAGTTCATACCATTCACAAATAGTCTGACTGATCTCAGGTTATTCTGGCCAGCAAAGAGGAGGACAGATGGATCCCTCTGTGGTTTTATAAACACCCAGAAGAACAACAGCATTACAAACCTAGGTCTAACCTACTACCTGAGGCCTGCTTCTGACAGTGACACCTACCTACTGCCCCATAAAAAGATGCTGTTGTGTGAGGCTAGCCAGCATCAAGGCTCAGATTTCTTATGTGAAAACGGAGCATATTAATATACCAATTCCAGCTTAGCATCAGATGGATTGGATTATGGGTATACCTTATTAACCCAAACTGAAAATCTAGATTGATAAAGCTGGTTAAATTTAGAGGATTGTTTGCTTTGCAAAAATAATTCTCATAGGAGTTCTTTAGCAGACTTTCCTGACATAGTTAGAATGTTTTTGATTTTCACACCATTTGTCAGAAAAGCAGCTTTTGTTTTAAAGTATATTTATCCCCTAGTGGAAGTCCATTTACCTCATTCAACAATATACCTTTAGTGCCCTCTGCCCTCTGAAATTAGTACTGCATGACACTAAATTAACTCTCACTTGGTAACTGAAATGGCACCAAAAAATCTTTTTTTTTTTTTTTTTGTTAGGCAGGGTCATGTTCTGTCACCTAGGCTGGAGTGCAGTGGTGCAATCATAGCTCACTGCAGCTTTGAAATCCTTGGTTGAAGCCATCTTCCTGCCTCAGCCTCCCAAGTAGCTGGGACCACAGGCACACAGCACCTTGGCTAGCTAATTTTTTAAAATTTCTTGCAGGGATGGGGTCTCTAACTCCTGGGCCCAAGTGATCCTCCAGCCTCAGTCTTCCAAAGTGCTGACATTACAAGCATGAGCCACCATGCCCAGCCCAAAAGAGCTTAACTTTGTTAAATGCATTGGGTATGAAATAGCAAGAGGTAGAGGATATGTTATATTTTTAAATGAAAATGTTGAAAGCATGTTTTTATACCTAGATTGTCTCAAACTCTCTTTGAGTAATTTATGTATGTACTTTGTTTCCCTAGTGTAACTCAGCTCCACCTGAAGGATAATTGTTTATCTGATGCTGGGGTGCGGAAGATGACAGCACCAGTTCGAGTGATGAAAAGAGGCCTTGAGAATCTAACATTATTAGACTTATCATGTAAGTTTTCTTCGAAATTATAGATTATTTTAATGTTGGAAGAATGGCCTTAGAGATCATGTAGTTCTTCCTCTTCATTTTAGAGGTGAGAAAGGAAAGGTGACTTTCCTCGGTGCCATAGAAACTTGGTGGCAGAACAGGATTGAGGCCAAAGACTCTTGACTCCTGGCCAACTGATTTTTCTAGCACATACCACCTCTTTAGGGTAGGAAAAACCCTTACACATTCATCCATGCCACTCGCTGTGTGCAAACAGAGACACCTTTCATCATATTCATTGCATACTTAAAGGACATTTGACTCATCTTTATTTTCCTTGAGTCTCTGATCCTTGGTGTCTGTCAGCTAGGTCCTTTTTTATCAGTGTTTGCCTGATGAAAAGCTGGATGAACGGATAATTTACTCAGATTAACCAGATATTGACTCCAATGGTAAGAGGTTGACAGAGATCATTTACAATTTAACCGAGCATCCATTGACTCTATGGCAGGACAGTATGATGCCAAAAGAATAGAAAGAGCAGTGGTTTGAGGTCTGAGGACCCTTCTTGGTCTACCACTTTTACTACCAGTTATATACCTTCAGACCAGTTATTTAACCACTTTGAGCATTGGTTTTGGCCTTTGTAAAATGAGGATAATAATGAATGTCCTGGCTGGGCGCGGTGGCTCACGCCTGTAATCCCAGCACTTTGGGAGGCCGAGGCGGGCAGATCACGAGGTCAGGAGATCAAGACCATCCTGGCTAACACAGTGAAACCCCGTCTCTACTAAAAAGATACAAAAAATCAGCTGGGCGTGGTGGCCGGCACCTGTAGTCCCAGCTACTCGGGAGGCTGAGGCAGGAGAATGGCGTGAATCCGGGAGGCGGAGCTTGCAAGTGAGCCAAGATTGCGTCACTCACTCCAGCCTGGGTGACAGAGCAAGACTCTGTCTCAAAAAAAAAAAAGAAATAATGAATGTCCTCCCTACCTCCCAGGGAAGTGTATTCATTCAACAAATATTTTTTGAGCATCTACAATGTGCCAGGCACTACGCTTATGGCCTTGAGGACTCAATGCTAAGTGTAGTACTCTCTGACGTGAGAAAGTAATATATAAGAAAGGATTCTGAAAATAATGCAAGTTGGTAAGAGTGGTGATAGTATCTGTGTCTAAGTTCCCTTGAATATCTTTTTAAAATAAATAAATGCTTTTACTTTGGAGGTGAAATGGCCATGAATAAAGTATGATAAACCATTGTAATACATGTTTATGTATGTTTTCATATGGTTCCAAATTAAACCCTTTGGGATAACTACCTGGTTCATTTATTTTTCTGCTCACCCCCAACTCCTAGAAAGTAAGAGCTGTAAAGGATCTTTAGGGATCATTGAGTGTGGCTCTTTTATATTACAAATAGTAAAGATCAGACCTCTGTATTTAATTTACTTTGAAAAGTTTGCCAACTCAAATGTTTTATAGTTTATCATTGCCCGGACGTTTTTCTGAGCTTATTTTTGGTTGTCATTTTAACAGCATTTATATTGTGACAGAATGCTACGTTGTTTTTGACATCTAGGTAACCCTGAGATCACAGATGCAGGCATTGGATACCTCTTTTCTTTTAGGAAACTAAACTGCTTAGATATCTCTGGGACAGGGCTCAAGGTAAGACTTTTGGTTCCTTCTCTCATTTTTCTAGACTCAACAATTTGATATTTTGCCTGTGCTAATTGGTATTTAGAAAGGGCTGGTATTTATGATGGTCTTTATTTACTACTGAAAACAAGTAAGAATTAACCAAATGTATTTGCATTTCTGATCTGTCTCTGCCTCACTAGGACATCAAAACCGTCAAGCACAAGCTCCAGACCCACATAGGCCTTGTTCACTCCAAAGTGCCTTTGAAGGAATTTGATCATAGTAACTGCAAGACAGAGGGCTGGGCTGACCAGGTACTCCAGATTTTTCTTCCTTGCGGTTGATGCAGCTTTTCATCTTAATTCCAAGTGTCTTATCCAACACATTGAATAAACAGTAATCCACTTGGTAGTCCTTGGTTAAATTGTCATCTTCATGTCAAATTGGAGACACTGATGGGCTATAACTGGCCCACGTGCTTAAAGAATTGGCGCCAGACCTTATATCTCATGCTCTGGTCACTAGGTTGTGCCTTATCTTTACTGGACCTAGGAGAAAATGTCATCTTACAGATGACTCAGAAAATAAGTGAATTCTGGCTTGCTACACAAAAAAGCAGTCTGACCCAACTTCAGAAGGACAGATTCTCTTAGTAGTGTGTATATACAGGAGAGAGAATAAACTCCGGTGTCATGCAAATAAAGATTCAAATATGATTCTTCTCTTTGTTTTGGGAAAGTTTCTTACCTCCCACAGCCTTAGTGAGGAGGTGTCTTTCTTGTCCTTCTCTCACTGAGTCTTAACAGTGAGAGAACTTTACTTTGACTTCCTTTTGTCTTGATGGTCTTTCTTCACTTGGTAGAGTACAGACTTAAGTGAGATTCAGAGTCTTCTATGTAAGTTGGAAGTGTGAAAGTAACCAAGTAGGACAGCACAAGTAGATGCCACCTTCCCTGTGGCTGGGGCCTTTCTCCCTTAGATGCTTTTAACCAATGTTTCTTGGTGGAGGCCTAGAGGACCCACCAAACTGTCCTGGATCCCCTCTTAGCTCCAAGCCATAATGCAGGATGGTAGAACTATCCACCTGCTGGATTGTAGCGTCACCTCTCCACAGGTAAGCAGGGAGACTGCTGAGTCGTGTTTCAGAAGCACACTGAGCTTGGTCCAGAACATGCATGATGAAATAATTATCATGGTGCATTGCCAGACAAAGTTTCTAGTGCTGTATGAGACCTAGATGCATCCAGTGGATGTGGGACAGGTGTGGGATGGTCTTACAAAGGCTTGCTGCAGTTTGGTAGCAGGTGACATGGTGGAAAGAGCATAGGCTGTGGAGTCAGAAAGACCTGGGCATGGAATCCTGGCTCAGCAACCCCATAGCTGTACAACCTAAAGCAACTTTCAGTCTCTGTGTTTTCATCCATAAAATGCAGAAACCAGGACCTCTCTTGAGCAGGGCTCAGGAAGGATCAAATAAAACACCTAGCAGCCTGGCCTGAGAGTAAGTTGACTGGACCAGTGCAGCTTCCTGCCCTCCGCCCTCAGCTGGGCCCCTAGGGCGTGGCAGCAGTGCTTTGCCTATGTCTTGGGGATCTGTTATTGAAACTGTTTCAGGCTGATTCCACTCACCTGTCCTCATTCTCATCTCACAAGGGTCCACTTACTTCCCTATTTCTGTCTCAGAATTTCTCCATTTCTTCAACCGTATTACACTTCCCTTCTATCCGAGAGAACAAGTATGCTCCTTTATTCCAGTCACAAGCCCTTTTTTTCTTTTTTAAAAAATTCTGTTCCCTAAGATCTCCAACTTCCCTTGTGCTATTTACTAATAATTATTTTCCCCTCCTGCCCACCCCCCCCCCATCTTCATTGTCCCCCTTTGTTGGCTATCTGCTTTCTGTGGATAAACACAAGGTGTCCTTATTCTAGCTTGGTCCTCATTCCCCAGTGCAGCTGTGCATTGTTTCCTGTCCAGTCTGTCCCACCCCCTCCTTGCCTACTCAGTTCTTACTCCCTTGCGATTTAGTTCTGGCCTCCCCTGCTCTCCTGACAGTGTCCTCTTGAAGGAGATATTCTTCACCTTCCTTGGCTTTCCTGCAGCATTCGATAGAAACATGCATGACTTATGTATTTTTCTCTGGGCCTCTCTCCTGGCTCTCCCCCAACTTTCTCACTCCTCTGGCTATGACTGATTCCTCTTTCTTCCTCTCCTCTTCTCCCACATCTCCACACTCCCCAGGTGCTCTTTCACTGTTCTCAGAGCTCCAGCTGTCCTTGCGAGGATGACTCTGCATTCCTCTCTCAGACACTAGACTCATTCCCAAGTATCCTCTGTAAATCTCCACCTGCCACCTCAAATTCAGCTTGTCCCGAACCAAACTCATTTTCTTCTTCCCCATCCCCGACCAGCTCTTATTGACATTCTTATTTCTGTTTAGCGGAAGGAAGCACCATTTTCCCTATTGCCCACTGAGTCAACATGTTCTATTAATCCATCCTGGTGTTCCCTGAAATCTGTTCCCATTTTTATAACCAGAAAATTATAGAAAAGATGGCAACTAATATTTATTAAGTGCCTTTTGTGTGCCAGACACTGTGCTAAACTCTTTATGTGTATTATCTCATTTAATCCTTAAAACAGCCCTATGGAATGTGTACTATCATTGATCCTTACAGATGAAGAAATTGAGACTAAGAAATCACTTGCCATGGGTCCCCTGGCAAATAAGTGGTGGAGCCAACTCTGGAACTGGTTTTTTGTTTGTTTTTAAATAGAGATGGGGTTTCACCATGTTGCCCAGGCTGGTCTCGAACTCCTGGGCGCAAGGGATCCTACCGCCTCGGCCACCCAAAGTGCAAAGATTACAGATGTGAGCCACTGTGCCTGGCCTGGAACTGTATTGTTTTTTTTTGTTTTTTTTTTTTTTGGAGACAGAGTCTCGCTCTGTCGCCCAGTCTGGAGTGCAGTGGTGTGATCTTGGCTCACTGCAACCTCCACCTCCGGGTTCAAGTGATTCTCATGCCTCAGCCTCCCGAGTAGCTGGGACCACCATGCCTGACTAATTTTTGTATTTTTTAGTAGAGGCAGGGTTTGACCATGTTGGCCAGCCTGGTCTCGAACTCCTGTGATCCGCCTGCCTCGGCCTCTCAAAGTGCTGGGATTACAGGCGTGAGCTACTGAGCCTGGCCTGGAACTGTATTCTTAAACTCTGTGTTGGGCTGCCTATGTCCTGAAAATGTTTTTCTTGACCTTTTTTATGGTCATTTCATTGCATTCCATAATAAACAAATATTAAATTTAAAGTTCTTGTTATTCATGGTATATTGAAATGATCATTTGCTTTTCTTAATGTATAGTTTATATTCAGGCATATTTCTTTTTTCTTTTCTTTTTTTTTTTTTGAGACAGAATCTCGCTCTGTCACCTAGGCTGGAGTGCAGTGGCACTGTCTCAGCTCACTGCAAGCTCTGCCTCCCGGGTTCACGCCATTCTCCTGCCCCAGCCTCCCGAGTAGCTGGGACTACAGGCGCCTGCCCAGCTAATTTTTTTTTTGTATTTTTAGTAGAGACGGGGTTTCACTGTGTTAGCCAGGATGGTCTCGATCTCCTGACCTCGTGACCCGCCCGCCTCGGCCTCCCAAAATGCTGGGATTATAGGCGTGAGCCACCGCGCCCGGCCACATATTTCTAAAAGAATTGGTAGCAGCTTATAATAAAAATATATTTTTAACAGTTTAAAAAGTAAAAACTGATCATGGTATGTTATGAGAATATGGAAACATGGGCATTTTACATACAAAAGTTTGAGTTATAGTTGGCATATTTTAAGGCACGAGAGTAAGTCTAGGAATGTGTGGAAAGTGTTATGACTAAAGTTTTAAGTTTTAGTATTTAGTTTAAGGATATGTAATTTATTTCCAGCTTGGAATAAAGATGAAAATAGACAGTGAAATCAGCTTTATAGATTTCTCTTAGTCATGCAGATACATATATCCAACGTGTTTGCATTCTGACTCAACTCCTGCATTAGAACAGAAAATGCAGACTTGACTTGGTTCTTATTCTTATCACCAGTCATCTGAAGTTAAATTTACCAGAGGGGTTTGTGTTTATGGAGAGGGAAAAAGGGGGAACAAGAAAGGCTTGAGATTAAAATCTCAATATTTTGTTTGGATTCAAATCTTTCCAAATATGTTTCAGATCGTTCTGCAGTGGGAGCGTGTGACTGCGGAAGCTGTGAAGCCACGGGAGACCTCGGAGCCTAGAGCAGCAGCTCAGCGCTTCTGTGAGAAATTCCCTTTCCTTTGAAGTTTTTTGCCCTTTATTTGCATCCTTAAAGCAGTTCGCTTGTTTTCCCTCCTTGGAAAAATTAATTATGATAGTATTGGCTTATTTATGATCACCAAGACTTGTATTCCCTTAGCATAGCTTACAGTATAAGTTCACACTTAGCTTTGAGCACCAGCACCAGGAAGACAGCTTTTTAAAATTACTTACTTACGTACCATCTTGTTCCAAAAAAGATTTGTGGTGGTACAAAAGCTATATAGAATACAGAAGATGAAAAAGGAATTGAGTGTAGCCAGAGGGTGGAAGCAGCCCAGGTGTCCCATCAACAGATAAATGGATAAACAAAATGTGAAATATACATACAATGTATTTCAGGCTTTAAAAGTAAGGAAACCGACACAACATGGATGAGCCTGCAAGATGTTATGCTAAGCAAAATAAGCTAGTCACAAAAGGACAAATATTGTGTGATTGTTCTTGTATAAGGTACCTAGAATAGTTAGATTCGTAGAGCAAGCAGAATGGTGGTTGTGACTAGGGAGGCGGGGGTGGCACGGGCAGGAATAGGGAGTTATTGTTTAATAGGTACAGAGTTTCATTTGTACAAGATAAAAAGAGTTCTGGAGATGGATGGTGATGATTGCACAACAGTGTGAATGCCCTTAATACCACTGAACTGTACACTTAAAAATGGCTAAAATAGTAAACTTTATGTTATGTATATTTTATCATGATTTTAAAAGAAAAGGAAGTAAATGATGAAATCAAAGTGAAGGAAATGTAAAGGTACTAAATAAGAATCCAGGGCATACCAAAAAAATGTAAAATAGGTTGTATCATTTGCTATTTGGCTCTTAGAGTCAAATCCAGATTTCGAATAATGAAGGCTGTCATTTTTGTGGCCTTTAGTGTGTGTCAAGCATTGTGCTAATCACTTTATGTACATGATCTCATGTATCTTCATATCACCCTTATGAAATAGGTTTTGTATCCCTCTAGAGGTGATTAAACAGAATCTCAGACAAGTCACTTACCCACGGTCACTTCTAGGAAGAGGCAGATCTAGGATTTAAATCCAAATCTGTCAGACTGTAGTATGCCTCCAACCTGTGCCGCCATGCACACCACAGCGACCTCACAGGGCACTCAAGGCAAAATGCAATCAATGCAGATATCACCCTGTTTGGGCCTTTGTCATATCCCTGGGTTTATCCTAGACTGATGAGGGAATTAGCATATGCCAGTGTAGTGAACTCATCATCCCTCCCTTCTGTCACAGATGGGAAGCGGTCTCGAGCAGAAGCCCCACTGAAGTGTCCCCTGGCAGACACCCACATGAACTCTTCCGAGAAACTCCAGTTCTATAAAGAGAAAGCCCCAGATTGCCATGGGCCAGTGTTGAAACACGAAGCTATCTCAAGCCAGGAGTCAAAGAAGAGCAAGAAGAGACCTTTTGAGGAGTCAGAGACAGAACAGAATAACTCTTCACAACCTTCAAAGCAGAAATATGTATGTCTTGCTGTGGAAGACTGGGACTTGTTAAATTCCTATTGATTAGTAGATACAAGTTGACCTTTCTCTGGCCCCCAGCTCTAGTGTTTGAGTAAAGGAGACTGAGGATGATTTACTTTTTGTTTGAATTTACCTATGGCATTAGCATAGTAAGCAGATATTTCTACTTTTGTGGTGTGGGAGGGGAATGCTATGGAAGTATGTAATAATTTCTAATGTATATTTTCAATACATAGTAATTTTTTCAAATAAACATTTTTGCTGTCCTTAAGTTCTGCTTGTGGATTATAGACTGGAGCCACAGGAAATAACACGGTTTGGGATGGAAGGCCAGGTGAACTAACAAGGCAGCTTAGCATAACTCAGAGATACTGCAGGTTTGGTTCCAGACCACTGCAGTAAAGCAAACACTGCAATAAAGTGAGTCACCAGACTCTTTCATTTCCTAGTGCATATAACAGTTATGTTTACACTATATAGCAGTCTCTTAGATGTGCAATAGCATTATCTCCAAAAAGAAAAAACATGTATATACCCTCATTTTAAAATACTTTATTGCTAAAGAAAATGCTAACAATTATCTGAGCCTTTAGCAAGTTACATTCGTTTTGTTGGTGGTTGGGGGGTCTTGCCTTTGTTGGTGGATGGATGCTAACTAATCAGGGTGGTGGTTGCTGAAGGTTGGAGTGGCTATGGAAATTTCTTAAAATAAGACAATGAAGTTTGCCACATTGATTGACTCTTCCTTTTGTAAAAGATTTTGCTAGAGCACACGATGTGGTTTGATAGCATTTTACCTACAATAGAACTTCTTTCAAAATTGGAGTCAGTCCCCTCAAACCCTGCTGCTGCTTTATCAACTAAGTCTATGTAATAGTCTCAGTCCTTTGTTATTTCAACAATGGTTACATCTTTACCAGGAGTAGATTCCATTTCAAGAAACTACTTTCTTTGCTCATCCATAAGAAGTAAGTCCTCATCCTTTCAAGTTTTATCATGAGATTGCAGCAGTTCAGTCCTATCTTCAGGCTCCACTTCTAGCTTTCTTGCTATTTCTACCACATCTGCAGTTTCTTCCTCCACTGAAGTTTTGAACCCCTCAAAATCATGAGGGTTGGATTCAACTTCTTTCAAACCCTTGTTAATGTTGATTTTTTTTTTTTTTTTTTTTTTTTTTTTTTTTTTTTGAGACAGAATCTTACTCTGTGGCCCAGGCTGGAGTACAATGGCATGATCTCGGCTCACTGCAACCTCTGCCTCCTAGGTTCAAGTGATTCTCCTGCCTCAACCTCCCAAGTAGCTGGGATTACAGGCGCATGCCACCACGCCTGGCTAATTTTTATATTTTTAGTAGAGATGGGGTTTCACCATCTTGGCCAGGCTGGTCTTGAACTCCTGACCTCAAGTGATCCACCTGCCTCAGCCTCCCAAAGTGCTAGGATTACAGGAGTGAGCCACCACACCCGGCCCTAATGTTGATATTTTGACCTCTTCCTATGAATCACAAAATGTTCTTAATGGCATCTAGAATGGTGAGTCTTTTCTAGGAGGGAAAGTTTAGTTTTGTTTTTTGAGACAGGGTCTTGCTCTGTTGCCCAGGCTGGAGTGCAGTGGTGTGATCATAGCTCACTGCAGCCTCGACCTTCCAGGCTCAGGTGGTCCTCCCACCTCAGCCTCCCAAGTAGCTGGGACTACAGGCACATGCCATTGTCACACCTGGCTGATTTTTGTATCTTTTGTAGGGATAGGGTCTCACCATGTTGCCCAGGTTGGTCTCCTGGGTTCAAGAGATCTGCCCACCTCAGCTCCCAAAGTGCTAGTATTACAGGCGTGAGCCACTGCACCTGGCCTCCAAGAGGTTTTTAATTTACTTATTTACTTTGTCCAGATCCATTAGAGAAGTCACTGTCTATGGCAGCTATTGCTTTGTGAAATGTATTTAATAATAAGACCTGAAAGTTGAAATTACTCCAGATCCATATGCTGCAGAATAGGTGTTATGGTAGCAGGCATGAAAACAACATTCATCTTGTAAGTTTTTGGGTGATCAGGTATATTGTCTATGAGCAGAAATATTTTGAAAGTGCCTCTAATTTGTGGACTACACATTGAGTAGCAAAGCTCTAGACCTTTACTGTCCAATATGTAGCTCCTAGCTACATGTAGCTATTAAATACTCGAAATGTGGCTAGTCCAAATTGAGATGTGCTATAAAATACACACTGGATATCAGATATCAAAGACTTAGTATCTAAAAGTTTGAATGAAAAATGTCTCAGCCAGGCGTGGTGGCTCGCGCCTGTAATCCCAGCACTTTGGGAGGCCAAGGCGGGCGGATCATGAGGTCAGGAGATCGAGACTATCCTGGCTAATATGGTGAAACCCCGTCTCTACTGAAAATACAAAAAATTAGCCGGGTGTGGTGGCATGCACCTGTAATTCCAGCTACTTGGGAGGCTGAGGCAGGAGAATCGCTTGAACCCGGAGGGCAGAGGTCATAGTGAGCTGAGATTGTGCCACTGCACTCCAGCCTGGTGACACAGCAAGACTCTGTCTCAAAAAAAAAAAAGTCTCCATTTTGAAATACTGGTTACATGTTAAAATGGTAATTTAAAATAATTTCACCTGTTTTTATTTTTCTAATACGGCTACTAGAAAGTTTAAAATCACATTCATGGCTTGCATTTGTGATTGCATTATATTTTTACTGGACAGGACTGCTCTAGACCGTATTCATCTTTAAAAGGTGAGCTAAAAGCAAGAGTTACTGGCAAGTAAAAGGAAGGGAGAAAATACCTCAAGAAATTGACAACATTAGTTTGACATTTGTAAGTGCTCTGGAGTTTAATGAGGATTTTATTTATTATTTATTCATTATTGTTTTTTAACTTTTAGGTTCAAGGGTACTTACGGAGATTTGTCATATAGGTAACTTGCGTCTCATGGGGGACTGGTGTATAGATTACCTCGTCACCCAGGTAATAAGCGTAGTTAGTACCCAATAGGTAGTTTTTCGATCCTCTCCCTCCACCCTCAACAGGCCCCAGTGTCTGTGGTTCCTTTCTTTGTATCCATGTGTACTCAGTGTTTAGCTCCCACTTACAAGTGAGAACATGCAGTATGTGGTTTTCTGTTTAATCAGGATTTTAATAAAGGTAGATCTTAGATAAAATATGTGTTAATTGCTACTCTGAGCTAGGCAAGGTACTACCTCTTTAAAGGTGGGCTGTTACCCAGGATCATATCAAAAGCTTGATTTCTGAAATTTATAAAATGAAAAAGCGAATACAGTGCTGATTGGTTTTCTCTGTAACAAAGTAGAGTTTTAAAATATCATTTGAGGCCGGGCACGGTGCCTCACGCCTGTAATCCCAGCACTTTCGTAGGCGAAGGCGGGCGGATCACTTGAGGTCAGGAGTTCAAGACCAGCCTGGCCAACATGGTGAAACCCCGTCTCTACTAAAAATACAAAAATTAGCCAGGCATGGTGGTGTGTGCCTATAATCCCAGCTGCTCAGGAGGCTGAGGCAGGAGAATTGCTTGAACCCGGGAGGCGGAGGTTGCAGTGAGCCGAAATTGCGCCACTGCATTCCAGCCTGGGCGGCAGAGCGAGACTCCATCTTTAAAAAAAAAAAAAAAATCATTTGAGTGGACAGTAGCACTCTGTCAAATTCCAAATGCCAATCAACAGCTGGCTCTACTTGTCAAAGTTGGCATATTATTGTTAGTCAAACCAGAGTCCAATTTGATCACCCCCTCATGCACACAATCCCACCACCACCACCGGACTCCACTGTTGCCTGTGGGGCAATAATGCCATGTTAACAGGGAGCATCTGGAATTACTCTTCAAACATCCGCCCATTTTGATCACTGTGGAAGGCAAATCTTCCTTCCACATTTACCCCTTCAGAGCAACTTGTGCTCACTTCTCTCATCAACACAGTGTACTTTTAAAGCTAAGATTTCATTTTCTTTAATCCTTTTTTTCAAGAATCACATTTTTCTCTGCTGACGATTCCTTTAAACAAATATTTCTTGTTTTGGTCTGAGGAATTCATTCTTTGAAATGGAGTTATAGAAGTCTAGGCTTTGTTTTGATGACTGAGGTGAAGGCCAAGAATTTATGACCAGCATACAATAGATAGGGTAATTTGTGTGTTTGTGTAACTTACATGTGAGGATAGGCTGTTTTTTAAAATTAGAATTTGTTTCTGCCTTCTTAGAATTTACTTACTGACTCGTTATGAACTTCGCAAAGTGACTCAATTCTGAAAATCCTCATACCTCTTTAAAACTCTGCTGCCTACCTACATAAAGCTTACAAGAATGAATAAATCAGTGCTTCTCAAAAAACATGTTCTGTGAACCCCTGCCCCAGAGTTTTCTGTGGTATTTGTTAAAATGAAGATTCTTAGACCCCACCCATGTTTATTGAATCAGAATCTCATATTTATTATTTATTTATTTGATATGGAGTCTTGCTCTGTTGCCAGGTTGGAGTGCAGTGGTGCAATCTCAGCTCACTAGTTGAACCCGCCTGCTGGGTTCAAGTGATTCTCCTGCCTCTGCCTCCTGAAGAGCTGGGATTACAGGTGCCCGCCACCATGCCCAGCTAATTTTTGTATTTTTAACGGGGTTTCACCATGTTGGGCGGGCTGGTCTCAAACTCCTGACCTCAGGTGATCCTCCCACCTCAGCCTCCCAATGTGCTGGGATTACAGGTGTGAGCCACCGCGCCCGGCCTGAACCAGAATCTTTTAGTTTATGAGAATTACTAAAGAATCTGATATCAGGCCATTTTTTTTTTCCATGTATTCATTTTAAAAACCTGAGCCATTCATCAGTTTATTTGAACAGGTATCTGTTGAACACTTAACATGTACCAGGTGCTAGGGACTCAGCAATAAACAAGACAAAATACAGTATTTTCCTTTAAAGAGCACAGGGTGAGCAGACACAAAGTTAAGTGAACAGAACAGTCAATCAAGAAGCTAAGTTCACATAGCGATAAGTAAAGAAAATGGAACAGGGTAATGGGATATTGGGAGTTATGGAAAGTTAATTTAGATTTTTAATTAACTTAGGGGGTTACAGAAGGCCTCTCTGAGGAAGTGACACTTGAGCTGAGAAGTATGATAAGAAGGAGCTGATAATGCACACATCTGGAGGAGGGTCTCAGGGAAGGAAAGAACAGTGCAAAAGTCAAGGTGGGAAATGTTTGGCACATTCAAGGGACAGAAAGAAAGACAAGTAGAAGGCCTGAGACTGGGCCTCAGTCCTTCCCACACTTAAGATCAGGCAGAGAGCAGTAGATGTCAAGGTTGAAGATTAATACCCAGGAGAGCATTTAATATAAACTTAGAAATGTAAATGTTTCAACAAGAAGTGGGTAGTGAATGACTATTAGATGAGGTGAGTTGGAGTTGGTGGCTTTGATTGGGTTGGGTGGAGAGATGAAAGTTAAAAGCCTGATTGGATGTAGCTTAAAGAGAATGGGAGACAAGGAAGTGGAGACGAGCTGCAGAAAATGTTTAGGAAGTTTTACTAGTTAAGGGAGTAAAAATTCAAAATTCTGGTGGTAACGGGTCTTGGGGTCAAAAGAAGGTTTTCTTGCATAATTTTTATTCAAACATATTCAAAAGTAGAATAGAACAAACCCCCATGTACCCATTACCCATTGTGTTTGGGTGAATAATGGCCCCACAAAGATGTCCATGTCATAATCCACAGAACCTGTGGATATGTTACACAGCAACAGGGACTTTGTGTGTGTGATTAAATTAAGGATCTTGAAGAGAGATTATCCTGTATTATCCAGATGGGTTCAATATATTCACATGGACCCTTAGGGAGGCAGGAGGATCAAAGTCAATAGTAGGAGATCAGCCAGGAGTGGTGGCTCATGCCTGTAACCCCAGTACTTCGGGAGGTCGAGGCAGGAGGATCGCTTGAAGCCAGGAGTTTGAGACCAGCCTGGGCAACATAGCGAGATCCCATCTCTACAAAGATAAAAATGAAAAATTTAGCCAGGTGTGGAGGCATGTACATGTAGTCCCAGCTACTCCAGAGGCTAAGCAGGGAGGACTGCTTGAGTCCAGTAGTTGGAGGCTGCAGTGAGCTATAATTGTGCCACTGCACTCCAGCCTAGACAACAGAGACCTCATCTCTAAAATAAAAAAGGTAGGAGATGTGCTGATATCTGTAATCCCAATGCTTTGAGGGGCCAAGAAGGGAGTATCGCTTAAGGTTAGGAGTTTGAGACCAGCCTGAGCAACATAGTGAGACCCTGTTTCTACAAAAAAAAATTTTTTAATTAATCAAGCATGATGATGTGCACCTGTAGTGCTAGGTACTCAGGAGGCTGAGGCAGGAGGATCACTTGAGCCCAGGAGTTCAAGGCTGCAGTGAGCAATGATCACACCACAGCACTCTAGCCTGGGTAACAAAGTGAGACCCTGTCTCCAAAAAAAAAAAAAATAGTAAGAGATACGATGATGGAAGCAAGAGGCTCAAGTAACACACTGAAGAAGCCAAGAGCCAGAAAATGCAGCAGTCTCTAGAACCTGAAAAAGGCAAGGAAATGGATTCTCCCACAAAGCCTCCAGGCAGAAGGAAAATACAGGAGAATGGGAGTGTTAAAGAGCCAGCCATTAGCTTTTCCAGTCATGAAGTGCTTGGGACATTTGGCTTCTTGACGGTTTTTTTTTTTTAAGTTAAAAATTCCTTAATTTTTTTATTCCTGGTACCACTACCACAATTTACAGGGCAATATATCTGATGTAATGAAAAGAAAAAAAGATATAACAGGAATGTACATCTAATTGACTCTGCATTGCATTAATCAGTAGCTGCACTTTTTGGAAACTGTGGCTGTGTCAGTCCTGAACAAGAAGGGTTTCCTGTTTAAGCTGCAGTAACTTTTCTGACTATGGATCATTGCTCCTTCTGTGGCAGATTTTTACAGTTCCTCTAATGCATGTGGGACGACTGTCTCAAAGTAACCTGCAGCTTTCCTGACAACTCCTTGCTTTCTCTCCTGCTAAGAACTGTAGCCCTTTTCTGCTGTTTTTAGAACCTTCTGCTACCATATCTACCACTCCCACCACCAGATCCATAACCACCATCATAGGGACTGCCTGAGCTGCTTCCACCAAAATTGCCCCCTTTCATGAGTCCTTAATTTGATTGCTGTTGTCCATTATAATTTCCAAAATCATTATAGTTCCCACCACCACCATAGTTACCACGGCCAAAATTTCCTCCTTCATTGTAACCATCATATCCTCCACCACCGCCACCATATCCACCACCTTGGTTTCCACATCCTGGTCCACCACGACCATAGCCCCCTCTACTACTATAACCAGGACCGCCGCCATAGTTGCCACCATCACCTCCAAATCCATTATATCCACCATCACCTCCTCCATAACTATCTCTGCTGCCACCACCTCCACCACCATAGCCTCCTCCTCCACCAAAGTTTCCACCACAGCCAAAATTACCTCCACCACCTCCAAAGTTTTTTCCACAATAAAATTGCCAGATCCATCTCCACAACCTCTCTGTGATCCAGCAGACTGCATCTCTTATTTAGAAAGGGGCTTTTTCACTTCACAATTATGCCCATTAATAGTGTGGTATTTCTGAACAACAATTTTATCAACTGTATCATGATCATCAAAAGTTACAAAAGCAAATCCTCTCTTTTTTTCCACTCTGCCTGTCTTCCATAACTTCTGTGGTCTCAATCTTGCCATACTTTTCAAAGTAGTCTCTCAAATTATATTCTTCTGTATCTTAATACCACCAACAAAAATTTTCTTCACTGTTAGATGGGCGCCAGGCTTTACAAAATCCTCTCTGGAAACAGCTCTCTTTGGTTCGACTACACACCCATCAACCTTGTGTGGTGGAGCACACATTGCTGCATCCACCTCTTCAATATAAGAATAAGTCACAAAACCAAAGCCCCTGGAGCATTTTGTTTGGGGGTCTCTCATTACCACACAATCTGTGAGTGTGACCCATTTCTCAAAATGTTCTCTTAAACCATCATCTGTAGTTTCAAAGCTCAGACCACCAATAAACGGTTTTCTCAACTGCTCTCGTTCCTTTGGATCATGGCCCTCCTCCCCCTGGCAGCAACGGCGATGGCCGGAGCCGGGCTGGGGGCAACCGGCAGCAGTTTTACCTCCATCTTGAGACCAGACTTGCCTCTTCCAACTCAAGTTCAATATGGGGATGAGAGCTTCTTGACAGGTTTTGCAGAGTTGACTCATTTGAGATTCTCCCTACTCCCTACTCCATTAACACTGAGTTTTAATGTTAAACTTAGCTTTGTTCCTCTGGGATCCTATAATTAGACAGAGGTAATACCAAGTCAAAATAAATAGAATATCTTACCAGAAGGCCTTGCTCTGTTTCTAATCTGTCTACTGAAAGTCTTTTTGCAGCTTTGGTTTGGGAGTGCCATGAAGGTGTAGCTTTGGAATAGATTTGTAAGAGAATATTCTGGCAACGGTAAGTGCTACATGACTCCTGGTGAGTAAAGAACAATGGCCCAGCTTTTCTGACCACCTTTAAAATGTATCTTTTGCCATATTTTTTATGAGTTATCATAAACCCCAAATTAGGAGTCCTTAATACACTAGGTGCTGAGCCCTGGCCATACTTGTATTCTCTCAATTGGAGAAGAGAAATTACACCGTGGAATTCCTAGGTTGGCCTGACCAGGCCCACTTGGACTTCCTGCTGTTGTGGTTTTCCTCTTGAGTTTCTGTAGTGAGGTCCCCTCTGCCCCTGCTTCAGCTTCCTGCTCCCAGCAACTCCCTCCTGGCCTCAGCTCTCAAAGATGGTTCTTCAGTCCCAGAAGGATCAGCCTGAGACTGAAATTGGAAAATCCAGGCTCTAATCCAGATTCTGCCACTTGCCAACAAATCTCTTCCCCTCTCTGGGCCTTGGTTTCCTCATCTATAAAAAAGAAGACAGTCCAGGCATGGTGGCTCACACCTATAATCCCAGCACTTTGGGAGGCCAAGGCAAGAGGATCATTTGAGGCCAGGAGTTTGAGACCAGCCTGGCCAACCTAGTGAGGCCGTCTCCACACACACACAAAAATTATCCAGGTGTTGTGGCACGCTCCTGTAGTCCCAGTTACTCAGAAGGCTGAGGAGAGAGGATTGCTTGAGCCCAGGAGTTTGAGGCTGCAGTGAGCTAAGAAGGTGCCACTGCACTCCAGCCTGGGCAACAGAGAGACCCTGTCTCTTAAAAAATAAATAGGCCAGGTGTGGTGACTCACGCCTGCAATCCCAGCACCTTGGGAGGACAAGGCAGGCAGATCACTTGAGGTCAGGAGTTCGAGACCAGCCTGGCCAACATGGTGAAACCCCGTCTCTACTAAAAATACAAAAATCAGCTGGGCAGGGTGGCACACGCCTGTAATCCCAGCTACTCGAGAGGCTGAGGCAGGAGAATTGGCTTGAACCTGGGAGGCGGAGTTTGCAGTGAGCCGAGATTGTGCCACTGCACTCTGGCCTGGGCGATAGAGCGTGACTCAGTCTCTAAATAAATAAATAAAATTAATTTAAAGGCTGAGCGTGGTGGCTCACACCTGTAGTCCCAGCACTTTGGGAGGCTGAGGTGGGTGGATCACCTGAGGTCAGGAGTTTGAGACCAGCCTGGCCAACATGGTAAAACCCCGTCTCTACTAAAAATACAAAAAAATTAGCCAGGCATGGTGGTGAGTGCCTGTAACCCCAGCTACTTGGGAGGCTGAGGCAGGAGAATTGCTTGAACCCGGGAGGCGGAGGTTGCAGTGAGCTGAGATTGCGCCACTGCACTCCAGCCTGAGCAATAAAAGCAAAACTCTGTCTCAAAAAAAAAGAAAAAAATTAAAAAGAAGACAATAACAAATTTGCTTGATGGAGTTGTTACAGGAATTAAATGATATGATGTGGTGAAAATGCATTAAATTATAAAGTGTAATCCAGAAGTTATCTAATTATAATTATTCCTTAGTGGAATCTTTGAATATTCTCATAGCTCTTCATTTTAAAATGGGGAAGCTGAGGCTCAGAGAGAAGTTTACTCATTGTGATAGTTCATCTTATGTGTCCAGTTGGCTAGGATACAGTGCCCAGTTGTTTGGTCAAACACCAGTCTGGATGCTGCTGTGAAAGTATTTTTCAGATGAGCTTACCTTTTAAACTAGTGAACTTTGAGTAAAGCAGATTACCCTCCAAAATATGGGAGTCATCCAGTCAGTTGAGTATCTTAAGAGAAAAGACAGGTCCCCTGAAGAAGAAGGAATTCTGCCTCCTGACTGCCTGTGAATTCAAGACTTCAGCATCAACTCCTGCTGGAATTTCCATCCTGTTGACCTGCCCTGCAGATTTCAGACTTGCTAGGCCCACGCAACTGCATGGGTCAATTCCCTCAAATAAATCTCTCTCTCCTTACCTCTCTCTATGTATATATTGAGATGCAGATTATAGATAGGTTATAGATCTAGGTACACATACACGGTACTCTCTATTGGTTCTGTTTCTCTGAATAATCCTTACTGATACATTCATCCTTTCCCTCATGAAGCAAATAATTATTAGGCACCTACTGTGGGCTCTGTTAGGTAAAGCAAATAAGACAGGGTCTCTGCCCTCAGGCAGGGAATAGACAAGTGACTTCCCACATACAATGTAGCGCGACCAGTGCTCTGAGTGGGGTGTGCTTTGGGAACTGTGGATCCACAGTGGAGGAATGTTAAAATGGTTAACTGAGAGCTGTGAGGCAGGAAATGCTTCCCAAAAGATAGTGATGCCTGAGTGAGTTTTGAAGGATGAATATGGATTAGCAAAGCCAAGAAGAGAGGGGCCAGGCATTTCAGGCCCAGGAGTATGGGAAGCAGGGGCAGCATTTATGCACATGAGACCCTCGGGAGTTCCAGGTTGCTGGAGCCGAGGGGTGTTGGAGAGAGCTGAGCAGTGAAGCAAGAGCAGTCAGCAGGGGACCCCTTTTAGAGATGCCCTTTATCCTGGAAGTCACAGGGAGCCCTCAAGGACTCCAAGCAGGGGAGACAGGGAACTGAGTTTCAGAAGGGTGCCTCTGCTACCAGGTGGAAGCTGACCTGGAGGGGACCAGTGAGGAGCCAGGTTAGGCCCGATGTGAGGCAGAGGATGAAGGAGGGATGGCAGTGACAGGTGACCATTCCCTCAACACGTGGCCGAGCTCCTGTTACCAGTGAGACCCTCTGCTCAGTGATGAAGCTCCATAATAAACAACACAGACACTGCTTCTAGGGAGCTTGTTGATGGAACAGAGGGGACTTAGCATTGACTATTGATCTGTTCATCTGAGGGTCAAGAGAGCTATGGGTCAGAGAGAGATTGGGAAGAAGCTAGGGTGAGACTAAAATCTGGGAGGAAAAATAGGCTTTGTGTTAAGAACCTGGAATTGTATGTAAAATATTGTGCATTTGGTTGGTTTTTTTCCCCCATTCTGTAGAGAGGATCTACAGTCATCATCACATTCTCAAAGGGGAGAAAATATCCCAAGTTAGGAAACACTGAAGTAGAATGCAGTGAGCAGATGGCAGAGGGTGGAGCCCTGGGGAATGGCAATATTGAAAGGGCGGCAGGCAGGGCACGGTGGCTCACGCCTGCAATCCCAGTACTTTGGGAGGCTGAGGCAGGGGGATCATTTGAGCCAGGAGTTCGAGACCAGCTTGGGCAACATGGTGAAACCTCATCTCTACAAAAAAATACAAAAATTAGCTGGATGTGATGGTGGGCGCCTGTAGTCCCAGCTACTCGGGAAGCTGAGGTGGGAGGATCACCTGAGCCCTGAAGGTGGAGACTGCAGTGAGCCGTGATTGCGCCGCTGCATTCCAGCTTGGGTGACAGAGTGACACCCTGTCTTAAAAAAAAAAGAGGCAGAGGAAAAGGCAACTGAGAGGAAATGGTCAAAGAAAGAGGAAACAGGACAGTGCAGCCTTATGGAAACCTAGAGAGGGGAGAGTCCCAAGAAGCCAAGGACTGCTCAGCGCCGCCTCCTGGTCCAGAGCAGGTAAAGGAGACAGGCAGACACCAGCCATTTGATTTGGAGTTGAGGAGGTGGGCAGAGAAGAACCTCCCAGAGAAGAAAGCCATTTTATATCAGGAAGCCCGTAGCACAACACACGTTCATATGCTGCAAGGAGCAAGCCAGGAGAATGAGAGCGGTCTCTGGCCACCAAGCTCCAGGCTGCATCATTCCTTGCCCTTCGGGAAAGCGGTGGCCCCCAAGGAGCAAAAGGAAACCAAGCGATAAGTGAATGATGGCAGCCACGTGCAGCTGTGCACTGAGGCTTGCTCAGAAGCTTGAAAACCTGGATCCCAGGAGGAACAGCCGAAGAGCTTGGGGTTCTGCAACTTGAGAGGCCTCTGGGGAGATGATCAGCTGTTTTCAGAGGAAGGGCTTTCCTAGGGCAGAGGGAACAGGTATGTTTTCTGGATCCAGGACTAATTAAAGCAAGACAGAGTGGATTCAGTAGCAGAGGGAATTTTCTAAAGTCCCAGAAGCCAAGAGGAGTAGCAAGGCCCTTGTCTTCAGAAGTGTGCAGAGGCTAGGTGTTTATTTGGCAGGGCTGGTACACAGACGATCCAAACCTCAGGTCGGGGTTGGATTCCATGACCTTTAAGGTCCCTTCCAGAGTTAGGAATATCTAATACTTATCAGATTTCTCTGTCATCTTGAAGGGTTTTGTGAAATGGTCCAAAAGACTATTGTGATGCATTTTATTTTTTAAAAATCATGCTACATAAGGCTCATGAGGTTAGGGGTAGAAACGGATAGTGCGGCTTAAAAAAATAGCACATCTAGCAAGTATTATACCTCTTAAGAAGGAAATCATTGACTAGGGTTTGGATCAGTGGTTCCCAAAGGTCACTTGAGGGCAGATAACCTCCACCCCTCTATTTTAACTCTAAGAGCCCAGGTTGGACCCAAGGTGGGCCCAGGAATCTATCTTATTTTATTATTTTATTTTTTTGAGATGCAGTCTTGCTCTGTCGCCCAGGCTGGAGTGCAGTGGCGTGATCTCGGCTCACCGCAAGCTCTGCCTCCCGAGTTCAAGCCATTCTCCTGCCTCAACCTCCTGAGTAGCTGGGACTACAGGCGCCCGCCACCACGCCTGGCTAATTTTTTTTTTTTTTTTTTTTTGTATTTTTAGTAGAGACGGGGTTTCACCGTGTTAGCCAGGATGGTCTCAATCTCCTGACCTCATGATCCGCCCGCCTCGGCCTCCCAAAGTGCTGGGATTACAGGCTTGAGCCACTGCGCCCAGCCCTATGTTTTAAATAAGCAACAGTGCTCCACCTCCAACAAAAATCTGATGTGGCAGATCCCAGGACTACTCTTTTGAGAAACTGGGTGATGACGGACTGAGGATAGCAACAATCCTCCAAATAAAGTGCTCTATAAATGGCGATGTGCTTTGCGGTTGGGAAAAACAAGGCTCAGCAGTGTGGAATGTGTGCCGGGACAGGCTGGAGGCAAGTGTAAATCCCAGATTGACCTCAGGTCCAGGTATTTCCCCTTGGCATTGAGCAGGCTAAATGGAGAATTTTGCAGGCCTTGATCTCATTCACTTTCATCACTCCCACCTGGGCGGAACAGGCGGCTCAAATCACTGCCTCAGTCTGCTGGTCTATAAAATGAAATAATGGTGATTGGGCCTGTATTCTCCACGAATGAGGGAGAACAAATCTGCAAAGTATGGACCCCCAGGACTGAGTGGGGCTGGAACACTCTGGAGAAAGCTGCTATGGACTAAATGTTTGTGTCCCCCTGAAATTCATGTTGAAACTCTAATCCCCAACGTGATGGTATTTGGAGGTAGGGCCTTTGGGAGGTAATTAGGGTGAGATTAGATGATGAGGGTGGAGCTTCCAAGATGGAATTAATGCCCTTATAAAAAGAGGAAGAGGCTGGGCGCGGTGGCTCATGCCTGTAATCCCAGCACTTTGGGAGGCCAAGGCAGGCAGATCACTTGAGGTCAGGACTTCATGACCAGCCTGGCCAACATAGTGAAACCCCATCTCCACTAAAAATACAAAAATTAGCCAGGTGTGGCGGTGCATGCTTGTAATCCCAGCTACTCGGGAGGCTGAGGCAGGAGAATAGCTTGAACCCGAGAGGCGGAGGTTGCAGTGAACTGAGATCGCACCACTGCACTCCAGCCTGGGTGACGAGCGAGATTCCATCTCTAAAAAACTAAATAAAAAGAGGAAGAGACACAGTGCTCTCTTGCTGTCTCCTCCTCCACCCACCTCCTCCTCCTCCTTCCCCCCTACTTCTCTCCCTCCCTGAATGCTTGCACCAAGGAAAGGCCATCGGAGGCCATAACCAGGAAGAGAGCCCTCACGAAGAACCTGACCATGTTGGCACCGATCTCAGAATTCCGGCCTCCAGAATTATGAGAAATAATTATTTGTTATTTAAGCCACCAAGTGTTTGGTATTCTGTTATGGCAGCCCGAACTAAAACACATGACTATTTGCTCAAAGGATTCAGAAAGCAGCCAAGAAGGAATAACGGGGGTCACATTCACCCTCCTGCCTGGAAAAAACTGGGCAGAATGTATGAAGCAATAGTTTCAAAGTGCTAGACAGCAGGCAACAAAGGACAGTGATCCCGGAGAAACAGGAAGCAAACGAGGTGAGCCCCGCGATGGCTCCAGCTGCCTGCGGGGGAAGTTTCCAGGCTGCAGCACAGGGAAGGGGAGCAGAGGCGGAGCCCAACAGAATTCCTGAATTGAAGCAGCAGGAGCTCCCAGGACAGCATACTGGAGAGGAGGAGCGGCACAGAGACATCTCCGGAGATAATGCGCAGAGAGAGAACTTCAGCGGAGTGCTGCTCAGCATGTGCGTGTGAGCAACCCACTCCAGGCCAGGGTAGGAACCACCCAGAAGGATGAGAGGAATCTAACTTTGATGGTCATAAAAAACAGAATAGCTTCTGTTCCCACCAGTCAGACAGGAAAGCCTCATTATCCATGGGGTATTGGATAGGGCACTCGGGAGAGTCTTGCCTCAGTCATGGGGAATAATTAATCCTAGGTAATAATTAGCCTAGACAAAACATGGCTCTGCTCCCACCCAATAAATCTTAAAAGCAAGAATTTAAAGGATCAAACTGTTTCAAGTAACTTAACTGCAGTCCCAAAACAGAGCTCGAGAATATTTACAGGAAATCAAAAATACCTAGCACCTGACAAATGAAAAATCTTAATGTCTGGTCCAGTAAAAAATTACTTGGCATGGTCTATATATAAACCCTCACTTTACAAACAATTGACTTTTGACAAGGGTGCCAAGATAATTGAAAGGGAAAAGAATAGTCTTTTCTGTATTTTTTCTTGTTTTAGAGATGGGATCTCGATCTGTCACTTAGGCTGGAGTACAGTGGTGTGATCATAGCTCACTGCAGCCTGGAACTCCTGGGTTCAAGAGATCCTCCTACCTCAGCTTCCTGAGTAGCTGGGACCACAGGCTCATGCCACCATGCCTGGCTAACTTTTTTTTTTTTAATTTTGTGTAGAGACAGGGTCTCACTACGTTGTCTAGGCTGGTCTCAAACTCCTGGCCTCCCAAAGTATTGGGATTACAGGCATGAGCCACCGTGCCTAGCCAAGAATAGTCTTTCCAACAAACGGTACCAGACAACAACTGGATATCCACATATAAAAGAATAAAGTTAGACTTTTTTCTTCATACTATATCCAAAATTTAACTCAAAATGGATCATAGACTTAAATATCAGGGTTAAAACTATAAAACTCTTAGAAGAAAATATAGCCATAAATCTTCATGACCTTGGGTTAGACAAAGCCTTCTTAGATATGACACCAAAAACAACTGACAGTTGGTAGGGCTCAGTGGCTCATGCCTGTAATCCCAGCACTTTGGGAGGCTGAGACGGGCAGATCACTTGAGACCAGGAGTTCGAGACCAGCCCTGGCCAAAATAGTGAAACCCCATCTCTACTAAAAATACAAAAAATTAGCTGGGCATAGTGTCAGGCACCTGTAATCCCAGCTACTCGGGAGGCTGAGGCAGGAGAATCACTTGAACTCGGGAGGTGGAGGCTGCAGTGAGCCGAGATCGCACCATTGCACTCCAGCCTGGGTGACAAGAGCGAAACTCTGTCTCTCAAATAAACAAATAAACAAAACACAATAGACAAAAATAAAGATAAGTTGAAATTTATTTTTCTAATTTATCCTTTTTGTCAATTAGAAAAATAAATTTTAATTTATCTTTTTATTTTTGTCAATTTATCAAAACTAAATTCTTTTATCCTTTGATGGACACCATCAGGAAAGGGAAAGACAGGCCCACTGAATTAGAGAAAACATTACATCACATGTCTAATAAAGATCTAGTATCCAGAATGCATAAAGAACTCTTGGCCGGGTGCGGTGGCTCATGCCTGTAAACCCAGCACTTTGGGAGGTCAAGGTGGGCAGATCACCTGAAGTCAGGAGTTCAAGACCAGCCAGTCCAACATGGTGAAACCCCATCTCTACTAAAAATACAAAAATTAGCTGGGCATGGTGGCACATGCCTGTAATCCCAGCTACTCGGGAGGCTGAAGCAGGAGAATCACTTGAACCTGGGAGTAAGAGGTTGCAGTGAGCTGAGATTGCACCATGGCACTTCAGCCTGGGACAGAGCGAGACTCCGTCTCAAAAGAAAGAAAGAAAAAAAAAACTCTTACAACTCAACAACAAAAAGACAAATAACAGACATTTACCTGAGTAGACATTTCTCCAAACAAGATAAACAAATGGCCAATAAGCACATGAAAAGGTACTCAACATCATTAGCCACCAGGGAGATACAAATTAAAATCACAGTAAGATGCCACTTCACACTCACAAGAATGGCTATCATCAAAAAAACAGATAACAGCCAGTGTTAGGATGTGGAAAAACTGGAACCCTCATACACTGCTGGTAAGAATGTCAGACAATACAGTCACTGTGGAAGAGAGTCTGGCAGTTCCTCAGAAGGTTAAACATAGTTACCATATGACCCAGCAGTCTCACTCCTAGAGAAATTAAAATGTAGATCCATGCAAAACAGGTACACAAATGTTCATGGCAACATTATTCATAATAGTTCAAAAGTAAAAACAACCCAGTGTCTATCAACTGATGAATGGATAAACAAAATGTGGTCTACTCAGTACAGTGGAATATTATTAGCAATAAAAAGGAACGAAGTACTGATACATGCTACTATATGGATGAACCTTGAAAACATTATGCAAGGACAAGAAGCCAGTGAGAAAAGACCACATATTGTAGGATTCCATTGATGTGAAATGTTCAGAATCAGAAAATCTACAGAGAAAAAGTAGTTGCCTAGGGATGGGGAGTTGGGGAGTGACTGCTAATGGGTACAGAGTTTCTTTTGGGAGTGGCTAAAATGTTTTAAAAGTGATTATGATGATGGTTGCACAACTCTGTGGACATACTAAAGAACATTGCACTGTATTTTTATTTTATTTTATTTTATTTTTGAGATGGAGTCTCGCTTTGTCCCAGTCTGGAGTGCAGTGGCACGATCTCTGCTCACTGCAGCCTCCACCTCCAGAGTTCAAGTGATTCTCCTGCCTCGGCCTCTCAAGTAGCTGGAATTACAGGTGCACACCACCATGCCCGGCTAATTTTTGTATTTTTAGTAGAGACAGGGTTTCACCATGTTGGCCAGGCTGGTCTCAAACTCCTGACCTCAGGTGATCCACGTGCCTTGGCCTCCCAAAATGCTGGGATTACAGGCATGAGCCACCGTGCCTGGCCGACATTGTATATTTAAAATAGGTAAATTGTATGATATGTAAATTATACCTCAATAAAACTGTTATATTAAAATAAAATTACTAGGCATTAAAAGAAGCAAGAAAATATAATCCATAATAAGGAGAAAACCCTATCTATCTAAATCAACTCAGAACTGACACAGATGTTAAAATCTGCAGAGAGAGACATTAAAAGTTATCATTGTGTTTCATATGTTGAAAAAGTTAAATAGAGACATGGAGGATTTTAAAAGGCCCAAGTCAGACTCCTAGAGATGAAAAAACAGTCTAAGGTGAAAAATGCACTGGTGGAGTTAAGGGCACATTAAACATAGCAGAAGAAAAAAATTAGTGAATTTGCAGGCACAGCAATAGAAACTATCCAAAACAAAATACAGAGAGGAAAAATAATTTTTTAAAGATGAGCAGAGCATCACTGAACTGTGGTACGCTTCAAGCAGCCTAACATGTATGTAACTGAGGATTCAGGAGAGGAGAGAGAAGGGGAGGGACAGAAAAAAATATTTAAAGAAATAATAGGCCGGGTGCAGTGGCTTACGCCTGTAATCCTAGCACTTTGGGAGGCTGAGGCAGGTGGATCACTTGAGATCAGGAGTTCGAGACCAACCTGGCCAATATGGTGAAACTCAGTCTCTACTAAAAATACAAAAATTAACTGGGCATGGTGGCGGGCACCTGCAATCCCAGCTACTCAGGAGGCTGAGGCACAAGAATTGCTTAAACCCAGGAGGTGAAGGCTGCAGTGATCCAAGGTCATGCCACTGCACTCCACCCTCGGTGACGGAGTAAGACTCTGTGTCAAAAAAAAAAAAAAAAGAAAAAAGAAAGAGATAATAGTTTAAAATTTTTCAGGCTTGATCAAAACAAATCCAAGAAGCCCAATGAACCCTAAGTACAAGAAACATGAAGAAAACCACACAAAAGCACACATCATAATCAAATCGATCAAAAGTGATGATAAAATCTAGAATCAGCCAGAGAAAAAAAGACACCTTACATACAGAGGAACAAAGATACAAATGACAGGTTTCTCATTGGAAACATTGAGAACAGTGGGAAAACCTCTTTAAAATACTGAAAGAATTTATTACCAGTAGGCCTGCCCTATAAGAAATGTTCATCGAAGTCCTCCAGGCAGAAAGAAAAGGATATCAGATGGAATATGGATCTATACATGAAATAATAAGGAGCACTGGAAATAACTACATTGCTAAACATATCTCTTTCTTACTATTTCAATCTCCTTAAAAATAATTGGCTGTTTAAATGAGAATAACAGCAATGTATTATAAAATGGATGACAATTGCACAGCGGTCGGGTCAGGAGAAATGGAAGTATACTATAATTAGGTTCTTATACTATATGTGAAATGGTATTATATCGCATGAAGATAGACTGTGATAAATTCAAGATTTATACTATAAACTCTAAAGCAACCACTAAAATAAAACAGAGTTTTAGTTTCAAAGCCTACAAAGGTGATAAAATGGAATCATAAAATGTGTTTAACCCAAAAGATGTCAGGAAAAAAAAGGAAAACGGAAACAACAGATGGCGGCAAATAGAAAACAAATAGCAACATATTTAAACCATATTAATATTCACATTAAATGTAATGTAAATGGCCTAAACTTCTCAATTTAAAAGGAGATTGTGAGGTAAATTAAAAAGCAAGACCCAACTATATGTTGACTAAAAGAAACACACTTTAAATATAAAGACACAAAAAAGTTAAGAGTAAAAGGGTAGAAAAATATACCATACTAACACTAATTTTAAAAAACCTAGGGTGGTCAAACTATTATTAGACAAATAGATTCCAGAAAAAAGGAATATTACAGTAGGCCGGGCGAGTGGCTCATGCCTTTAATCCCAGCACTTTGGGAGGCTGAGACAGGAGGACTGCTTGAGCCCAGGAGTTTGAGATCAGCCAAAGCAACATGGTGAGACTCCATCTCTACAAAATTAAAAAATTAGCCACATGTAGTGGTGTGCACCTATGGTCCCAGCTACTTGGGAGGCTGAGATGGGAGGATGGCTTGAGCCCTGGAGGCTGAGGCTGCAAAGAGCCAAGATTGTGCCACTGCACTCCAGCCTGGGTGAAGAGCAAGGCCTTGTTGTTTTTGTTTTGTTTTTTAAAAAAGAATATTACAGTAGTCCCTCCTTATCCATGGTTTCACTTTCTGAGGTTTCAGTTGTCTGTGATCAACCAGGCCCTAAAATATCACATAACTACTCCGCCTCTTTGAGGCCATTAAGTAAAATAAGGTTTAGTTGAACACAGGCAGTTCAACATAAGCACAGTCAACCTGATAACCAAGACAGCTACTAAATGACTAATGGCAATCTGGGCAGATGAAGCCAGACTGTGGGAGATTTCATCACGCTACTCAGGATGGTGTGCAATTTAAATTTATGATCTGTTTGTTTCTGAATTTTCCATATACTTCACAATGCCTATGTTATTCCCCTTACTTAATCTCATCATGTCATTATTATCTCACCTTCACAAAAAGAAAGGTGAATACAGTACAACAAGATATTTTGAGAGACAGAGAGAACACATTTACTTAACTTTTAATAGTGCATTTTTATAATTGTTCTACTTTACTATTAGTTGTTAGTCTCTTACTGTGCCTAATTTATAAAGTAAACTTTACCATAGGTATGTTATGTATAGGAAAAAACAAAATGTATATAAGGTTTGGCACTGTCTGTGGTTTCAGGCATCCACAAGGTGTCTTGGAACAGATCCCTTGCAGATACAGAGGGACTACAGTACCAAGAATAAAGAAGAGCAATTCAAAATGATAAATAGGTCAATTGAGCAGGAAGACATAACAATCCTAAATGCTTAGGCACCTAATAACAGAGATTCAACATGCATTAAGCAAAAAGTGATATATCTGCAAGGAAAAATAGACAAATCCACAATTATAGTTGGAGACTTCAATACCCTCTCTTGATAATTGATAGAACAAGGGGGAAGAGATTCAGCAAGGATATAGTAGACCTGAACAACACTAGCAGCTCGCCTGATCTGATGTATATGAGGGGACTTCAAAAAGTTCATGAAAAATGTGGAGTATGAAAAACTACATGTGGATTTCAATTTTTTTTTGAGACAGGTTGTCACTCTGTCACCCAGGCTGGGGTGCAGTGGTGGAATCATAGTTTACTGCATCCTCCATTTCCTGGGTCCAAGTGATTCTCCCACCTCAGCCTCCCAAGTAGCTGGGATTACAGGCATCAGCCTGCCTCAATTTCTTTTTGCACCAAAATAAATTCATACTAACTTATTATAACATGTCTGAACACTATCTAGCTTGAGACGCTAAGAAGGATAAGACTCCAGTTTGAAAAGAGCCCCAATCAGAGCAACATGAATTCTGCTAACACTGAGCAAGAACAAATATCAAATTTATGGTGAAGCTTAGGTGGAAGAATGGTGAAATCATTGATGCCTTATGAAATGTTGACAGAGATAATGCCCCAAAGACATCAGCAGTTTACAAATGGTTCACTCGTTTTAAGAAGGGATGAGATGATGCTGAAACTGAAGCCCACAGTGGCAGACCATCCACATCAATTTGTAAGGAAAAAATTCATCTTGTTCATGCATTGAAAAGGACCAATGACTAACAGTACAAACAACAGCCAACACCACAGACATCTCAGTTGGCTCAGCTTATACAATTCTGACTGAAAAATTAAAGTTGAGCAAACGTTCTACTCAATGGGTGCCAAAACTGTTGTGCCCAGTTCCACTGCAGACAAGAGCCAAGCTTTCAGTGAAAATTTTAAACAGGTGGGCTCCGGATCCTGAAGCATTTCTTTGAAGAACTGTAAGAAGAAATGAAACATGGCCTTCTATCAGTGTGATCCTAAAGACAAAGCACTATCATGGCAGCGGGCCAGGCAGAGCAGAAGTGGACCAGTCAAGAGCAATGGTCAAGGCAACACTTTTTCAGCATGCTCAAGGCATCTTGCTTGTTGACTTTCTGGAGGGCCAAGGAACAATATCATCTGCTTATTATGCGGTATTTTGACAAAGTTAGCCAAAGCTTTCGCAGAGAAATGCCCGGGAAAGTTTCACCAGAGTCCTTCTCCACCACGATAATACTCCTGCTCATTCCTCTCATCAATTGTGACCATTAGGGAATCATTAGGCATCCACCTTACAGTCCTCATTTGGCTCCTTCTGACTACTTTTTGATTTCTAATCTCAAGAAATCTTTAAAGGGCATTCATTTTTCTTCTGTTAATAATGTAAAATAGATTGCATTGACATAGTTAAACTCCCAGGACCCTCAGTTCTTTACGGATGGACTAAATGGCTGCTATCATTGCTCACAAAAACATCTTGAACTTGATGGAGCTTATGTTGAGAAATAAAGTTTACATTTATTTATTTATTTATTTATTGAGACGGAGTCTCGCTCTGTTGCCCAGGCTGGAGTGCAGGGGCACAATCTCGGCTCACTGCAAGCTCCGCCTCCCGGGTTCACGCCATTCTCCTGCCTCAGCCTCCCAAGTAGCTGGGACTACAGGTGCCCGCCACCACGCCTGGCTAATGTTTTGTATTTTTAGTAGAGTCGGGATTTCACCACGTTAGCCAGGATGGTCTCGATCTCCTGACTTTGTGATCTGCCTGCCTCAGCCTCCCAAAGTGCTGGGATTACAGGCGTGAGCCACCGTGCCCAGCTTACATTTTTTAATTTATATCTCCACTTTTTAAATTTTTAAATTTTTTAAATTTTTATTCCACTTTTCCCCTTTTTGAAGTGGAACTTTTTGAAGTCCACTCACAGAATCCCACAACAGCAGAATACACATTCTTCTCAAGTACACACAGAGTAATATAATATTTCTAGTAAGACCAACAACAAAAAAAAAAGAAGATATCAGTAAAATTGATAAACCTCTAGCCAAACTGATCAGGGAAAAAAATGGAGACACAAAATACTGATATAAGAAATGAGAAAGGTTGGGATTACTACAGATTCTACAGATATAAAAGCATAATAACAAAATATTACAAATAACTTTATGCCAGTAAATTCAGCATCTTTGATGAAATGGATAAATTCCTTGAAAAATAATACCAAAGCTCACTCAAGAAGAAATAATCTAAATAGTTGCATATCTATTAAAGAAGTTAAATTTGTAATTAAAAATCATCCCACAAAGAAAACTGCAAGTCAGATGGTTACACTGTTATAAGATCTTTGGGGTGTTGGCCAGGTGTGGTGGCTCACACCTGTAATCCCAGCACTTTGGGAGCTGAGGCGAGCAGATCACCTGAGGTTGGGAGTTTGAGACCAGCCTGAACAACATGGAGAAACCCCGTCTCTACTAAAAATACAAAATTCTCTGGGCATGGTGGTGCATGCCTGTAATCCTAGCTACTTGGGAGGCTGAGGCAGGAGAGTCGCTTGAACCCAGGAGGCAGAGGTTGTGGTGAGCTGAGATCGCACCATTGTACTCCAGCCTAGGCAACAGGAATGAAACTCCGTCTTAAAAAAATAAATTAATTAAAAAAAAGAATTCAAGAGCAGTTTGCTGCAGGAAGTGCTCCCACATATTAGTTTTCAAGTGAAACAGCTATAAAGGAAGCAGGATGGATATTGAAGGTTTGTGCGACCTAAGAATGAAGGTTGCCGCTGGTGCCACATTGAAGAGAACAATTCCCAAGGAAGAAAAGAAGTTGGGAGAACCTCACAACAAGGCAGCACTCCTCTTCTGCCATCCCTCTCCAGGAAATGCAGGATTGTTGTTCTGAGAATGTCTGTGCACTAGTTAATAGTGTTTTGCATGTAGCAGGCGCTCAATAAATGTTTGACGAATGAACAACAACAACAGAAAAAGATCTTTGGGGTGTCAATTTTTCTGGCCATAAACTCTGTGGTTGGTGGCACCTTTGCCCGAGTTTTGCTCGGGCCCGCTGGGCTCATTTTGCCCACTCGATCTGGCAGGCTGCACTCGGCTCATGATACCAGCCTGGGTCCCACACTGGTCAAGGGTGAGTCAGGCATGGAACGGCGAGAGGTGTGTGAGCGAGCCTGGGGTCTGGCCACTGCGCAAAGTCAGACATGCTGGCTGCTACAGTGAGGTGGGCAGCTCTCTGTGAGGCTGTGGCCAGACCCGGCAAACCTCAAGCAGCTTCCATGGCTGGCACCAGGGAACACAGTGGCACATAGAAGCTTGGAGATGCTAGGAACTGCAGGGCCCCAAAGAGGGAGTCACAGCCCTGGCTTGGGGAACTCCCAGGTCTGGCCTCCCTGAAGGGACACAGCTCTTCTCTCCTCTTCACCCACAACACGGTGAACAAGGGGGCATGTTTCATCCCTGTCTGTGTTACAGCTCTTTTAGTCCCACCATTTGATGGGTCCCAAGTTCTTGTCCTGCAACTGGAAAGAATGAGGTACTCAGAAAAGTGGAAGGTGAGCAAGGTGAAGAGGAGCTTTACTGAGTGATAGAACCCCTCAGTCTCCTGCAGGGGGCAGCTCCTTTCCACAGCCTGGCTGTCCCAACGAGTGTTCAGCTCCTAGCAGAGAGGAGACTGTGGAATCAGAAGCTCCTCTCTACAGGCAGGTTGTCCTGTCATCTCTGCAGCTCTCAGCAGAGAAGAGGCCCTGGAATGGGTAGCTCCTCTCTGCAGCTGGTTGTCTCAATGTCTGCTTGAATCTCAGCAGAGAGGGGCCCTGCAGTGGGTAGCTCCTCTCTTCAACTGGTCATCCCAACATCTGCCCAGCTCTGGCAGAGCCTGGGGATTTTATGTGCCTCAGAGGGGAGGAAGTACATGCTGATTGGTCCATGGGTGGCCATGGGTGGGCCTGGAAAAGGCACCACAAATTCCCACTCCTGTCTGCGGGACTGGCAGCTCACCAGGGACCCACCCCCTTCTGCCCAGGAGCCTGTCTGCCTCCCACTGCCATTCATGGCACCCAGGCTGTTCATGCCAAGGGGTGCCTGAAGGCCAGTGCTGAGCTGCCCTCAGCCCCCACTTGGCTTTCCTCCCATGCTCGTTGGTGCCCAAGGTCCCAAAGGGGGCCAGGGCAGCAGGGGGCTGGCGTGTCTGCACTGCCCTGAGCATGTGCACACCTGGCTGGGCTATGAGAGCGCCTAGGTTCGGGCCTAGGTTCGGCCCTGACTTTGCTCTGAGATTGGATCAGGTGCCAAAAGCAGAGAGAAGCCAGGCAGTGGGAGCAGGCATTTCTGAGCCTGTGAGGACAGGGGCTCCTTCTCGGGCCCCCCAAAGTGCAGGGATGCCTGGGTCCACAGCCACAGTTTGGGAGGGTAGGGCTCCTGCCAGCAACATGGAGCCGGAGGCCTGAGTCTGCAGCCACAACTTGGGTGGCTGCGGCTGCACCTGGGGAGCTCCCACCCCCACCAACTTGGAAGGGACAGGGCTCCCACTTGTCACCGGCTTCACAGAGTGTGCAGCCCTGGCTGCACCTCCCTGCTGCAGCTGACATGATGGCAGCAGCCGCTCCAGACAGGCCACCACTGCCATCACCACTAGTGAATTTTACCAAACATTCAAGGAAGAAATAATACCAATTCTACATGAAGTATTCTAGAAAACTGAAGAAGAGGGAGCACCTCCTAACTCATTCTATGAGGTCAGCATTATTCTGATACCAAAACCTAACAAAGACATTACAAGAAAAGAAAAATACAGACCAATATTCCTCATGAAATAGATGCAAAAATTCTTAACCAAATTTTAGCAAATTTAATCCAACAATATATATTAAAAGAATAACATGTTGTGAATAAGTGGGGTTTAGTTCAGGAAAGTAAAATTATTTTAACATTCAAAAATCAATTTATAGGCCAGGCATGGTGGCTCACGCCTGTAATCCCAACATTTTGGGAGGCCAAGGTGGGTGGATCACTTGAGGCCAGGAGTTAGAGGCCACCCTGGCCAACATGGTGACACCCTATCTCTACTAAAAATACAAAAATTAGCCAGGCTTGGTGGCGGGTGCCTGTAATCCCAGCAACTTGGGAGGCTGAGGCAGGAGAATCACTCGAACCTGGGAGGCGGAGGTTGCAGTGAGCCGAGATTGCACCACTACACTCCAGCCCGGGTGACAGAGTGAGACTCCATCTCAAAAAAACAAAAAAAAAAACAACAAAAAAAATCAATTTATGTAATTCTTCATATTAACAGACAAAATAAATATAGATCATCTCAATGACACAGAAGAAGAATTTGGCAAAATTTGACATCCATTCCTGATATAAGCTTTTAGCAATCTAGGAAAAGAAGGAAACTCCTTCAATAAAGGCCATCGTCCTTCCTGATAAAGTTAATCTACCAAAACCTACAGCTGACATCATTTTTTTTTTTTTTTGGTCTGAGGCAGTTTAACTCTCATCACCCAGGCTGGAGTGCAGTGGCATAATCTCGGCTCACTGCAACCTCCGCCTCCCAGGTTCAAGTGATTCTCCTGCCTCAGCCTCCTGAGTAGCTGGGATTACAGGTGTGCACCACCACACCCAGCTAATTTTTGTATTTTTAGTAGAGACAGAGTTTCACCATGTTGGCCAGGCTGGTCTCAAATTCCTGACCTCAGGTGATCTGCCTCGGCCTCCCAAAGTGCTGGGATTACAGGTGTGAGCAACCGCTCCTGGCCTAGCTGACATCATTCTTAATGGTGAAAGACTGAAAGTTTCTCCTCAAGATCAGGAACAAGACAAGGATATCTCATCTTACCACTTCTATTCAACATTGTATGTGGCCAGTGCAACAAGAGAAGAAGGAAAAAAAGGCATCCAGGGGGTAGTGGCAAGCACCTGTAATCCCAGCTACTCAGGAGGCTGAGTCAGGAGAATTGCTTGAACCTGGGAGGTGGAGGTTGCAGTGAGCTGAGGTCCCGCCACTGCACTCCAGCCTGGGTGACTAGAGTGAAACTCCATCTCAAAAATAAATAAATAAATAAATAAATAAATAAATAAATAAATAAATAAAAGAAATGAGAGGCAAGAGGCATCCAGATTGGAAAAAAGGAAATGGAACTGTTTTTACTCACAGACAACAGGATTATCTATGTAGAAAATCTGATTAAATCTATGAAAAAATTAGAATAAGTGAATTTAACAAAATTGTAGGTTGCATGATTGATATGCAAAAAAATCGTATGTCTATACACTAGCAATTACAAGTTAGAAACTAAAAGTTTTTTAAAAAACAGGCCAGGCATAGTGGCTCATACCTGTAATCTCAGGACTTTGGGAGGCCAAGGTAGGCAGATCGCTTGAGGCCAGGAATTCAAGACCAGCCTGGACAACATGGTGAGACCTGGTCTCTACAAAAATAAAAATAAAAAAATTAGCCAGGTGTGGTGGCATGTGCCTGTGGTCCTAGCACTTGAGAAGCTGAGATAGGAGGATTGCTTGAGCCCAGGAGGTCGATGCTACAGTGAGCCGTGTTTGTGCCACTGCACTCCAGCCTGGGTGACAGAGTGAGACTCTGTCAAAAAAAAAAAAAAAAGCCTACAAAAAGACAGTGTGGTATTGGCAACAAAATAGACAAATAGGTCAATGGAACAAATAGACCAACATACATATGGATTACTTATTTTTGACAAAGATGCAAAAGCAATTAAATAGAGAGAGGATTGTCTTTTCAACAAATAGTGCTGGGATAATTGGATTTTATGTGCAAAGCAAAAAAAGGAATGTTGATTTATTCCTTATACCATATACAAAAATTAACTCAAAATGGATTATAGACCTAATTATAAAACCTAAATTTGGCTGGGCATGGTGGCTTATGCCTATAATCCCAGCACTTTGAGAGGCTGAGGCAGGAGAATCGCTCGCGTCCAAGAGTTCGAGACCACCCTGGGCAACATAGTGAGATTCTGTCTCCATGAAAAAAATTTTTAACTTAGACTACGGTTGTAGTGGCATGTGCCTGTAGTCCTAGCTACTTGGGAGGCTGAGGCAGGAGGATTGCTTGGGTTCAAGGTTATAGTGAGCTATGATCAAGCCACTGCACTCCAGTCTGGGTGACAAACAAGACCTTGTCTCTGAAGAGAGCAACAACAATGAAAAACCTAAAATTATAAGCCTGCTAGAAGAACACAGAGGATAAAATTCTTGTGATCTTGAGTTACGCAATGACTCCTAAATATACCAAAAGATCATGAGCCATAAAAGAAAAATATTGATCAATTGGACTTCACCAAAATAAAAAAACTCCTGCTCTTTAAAAGGCACTATTAAAAGAATGAAAAGACAAGCCACAGACTAGAAGAAATAGTGTAAATCATATATCTGATAAAGAACATGTATTCAAGGCCAGGAGCAGTGGCTCATGCCTGTAATCCCAGCACTTTGGGAGACTGAGGCGGGCGGATCACCTGAGGTTGGGAGTTCAAGACCGACCTGACCAACATGGAGAAACCCCGTCTCTACTAAACATACAAAATTAGCCAGGTGTGGTTATGCATGCCTGTAATCTCAGCTACTTAGGAGGCTGAGGCAGGAGAATTGCTTGAATCCGGGAGGCAGAGGTTGTGGTGAGCCAAGCATGCCATTGCACTCCAGCCTGGGCAACAAGAGCAAAACTCTTGTCTCAAAAAAGAAAAAAATAAATAAAATAAAAAACAAAGAATATGTATTCAAAATAGATAAAGGACCAGGTGTGGTGGATCATACCTGTAATCCTAGCACTTTGGGAGGCCAAGGTGGGCAGATCACCTGAGGTCAGGAGTTCGAGGCCAGCCTGGCCAACAACAACCGTCTCTACTAAAAAAAAAAAAATACAAAAATTAGCCATGTGTGGTGGTGCCTGCCTGTAATTCCAGCTACTTGGGAGGCTGTGGTAGGAGAATCACTTGAACCCGGGAGGCTGAGGTTACGGTGAGCTGAGATCGCGCCATTGCACTCCAGCCTGGGCGACAGAGCAAGACTCTGTCTCAAAAAAACAAAAAACAAAACATAAAACAAACAAACAAAAACAAATAGATAAAGAACTCTCAAAACAGCATGGTACTGGTATCAAAACAGAGATATAGACCAATGGAACAGAACGGAGCCCTCAGAAATAACACCACAGATCTACAACCATTTGATCTTTGACAAACCTGACAAAAACAAGAAATGGGGAAAGGATTCCCTATTTAATAAATGGTGCTGGGAAAACTGGCTAGCCATATGTAGAAAGCTGAAACTGAATCCCTTCCTTATACCTTATACAAAAATTAATTCAAGATGGATTAAAGACTTAAATGTTAGACCTAAAACCATAAAAACCCTAGAAGAAAACCTAGGCAATACCATTCAGGACATAGGCATGGGCAAGGACTTCATGACTAAAACACTAAAAGCAATGGCAACAAAAGCCAAAATTGACAAATGGGATCTAATTAAAGAGCTTCTGCACAGCAGAAGAAATTACCATCAGAGTGAACAGGCAACCTACAGAATGGGAGAAAATGTTTGCAATCTACCCATCTGACAAAGGGCCAATATCCAAAATCTACAAAGAACTTAAACAAATTTACAATAAAAAAAACCAAACAACCGCAACAAAAAGTGGGCAAAGGATATGAACAGACACTTCTCAGAAGAAGACATTTATGCAGCCAACAGACACAGGAAAAAATACTCATCATCACTGGTCATCAGAGAAATGCAAATCAAAACCACAATGAGATACCTTCTCACACCAGTTAGAATGACGATCATTAAAAAGTCAGGAAACAACAGATGCTGGAGAGGATGTGGAGAAATAGGAACACTTTTACACTGTTGGTGGGAGTGTAAATTAGTTCAACCATTGCGGAAGACAGTGTGGCAATTCCTCAAGGATCTAGAACTAGAAATACCATTTGACCCAGCAATCCCATTACTGGGTATATACCCAAAGGATTATAAATCATGCTACTGTAAAGACACATGTACACACGTTTATTGTGGCACTATTCACAATAGCAAATACTTGGAACCAACAGAAATGTCCATCAATGGTAGACTGGATTAAGAAAATGTGGCACATATACACCAGGAAATACTATGCAGCCATAAAAAAGGATGAGTTCATGTCCTTTGCAGGAACACGGATGCAGCTGGAAACCATCATTCTGAGCAAACTATCACAAGGACAGAAACCCAAACACCACATGTTCTCACTCATAGGTGGAAATTGAACAATGAGATCATTTGGACACAGGGAGGAGAACATCACACCCTGGGGCCTGTCGTGGGGTGCGGGGCAGGGGGAGGGATAGCATTAGGAGAAATACCTAATGTAAATGATGAGTTAATGGGTGCAGCAAACCAACATGACACTTGTATACCTGTGTAACAAACCTGCGCATTGTGCACATGTACCCTAGAACTTAAAGTATTAAAAAAAAAAACTCTCAAAATGCAATAATGAAAAAACAAGCCATCTAATAATAAAATGGGCAAAAGATCCGAACAGACCCTTCACCAAAGAAAATATATGGATGGCAAATAAGCACATGAAAAGACGCCCAAATCATTAGTCATCAGGGAAATGCAAAGCAAAAACACAGTGAGATACAACCACACACCAGTTAGAATAGCTACAATAAAAAGGCTGGCTTCCCACAAACTCAAGAGGCTGAGACAGATCACTACTTGAGCCCAGGAGTTGGAGGCCAGCCTGGGCAACATAGCAAGATCCCATCTCTTAAAAAAAAAAAAAAGGTCTGTGCATGATGACTCATGCCTAATGCCTATAATCTCAGCATTTTGGGAGGGTGAGGTGGGAGAATCACTTGAGCCCAGAAGTTCAAGAACAACCTGGGAAACATGGTGATATCCTATCTCTACAAAAATAAAAATAAAAAAATTAGCCAGGTGTGGTGGTGCACACCTGTGGTCCCAGATACTTGGGAGGCTGAGGTAGGAGGATTACTTGAGCCCAGAAGGTTGAGGCTGCAGTGAGCTGTGTTCATGCCATGGCACTTTAGCCTAGGCAACAGAGTGAGACTCTGTCCCAAAAATGAAATGAATTTTTTCTTTTTTTAAAAAAAGGCTGACTGTAGGTTCACAGAGACAGTTTGATGAGTAAATGAAAGAATGAGGCAATAAATGAACCAGAGCTCAGTCTCTTGATGCCCATTTTCAGTTCAAAACTCACAAAAGACTGATATGCACAACCAATTTTATTAATATTCAACGTGGATATGTCTGGCTCCCTCGACAGAAGGCCTCCAAAATGTTGGTGAGGATGTAGAACAACTGGAACTCTCATACTCTAATGATGGGAATGTAAAATGATGCAACCACTGTGGAAAACGGATAATTTTTAAAAGTTAAAAACACACCTACCTCATCCAGCGATTCCACTCCTAGGTGCTTCCTCAAGACAAATGAAAGTATATATCTACAGAAAGACTTGTACACAGGCCAGGCATGGTGGCTCACGCCTGTAATCCCAACACTTTGGGAGGCTGAGGCAGGAGGATCTCTTGAGGCCAGGAGTCGGAGATTATAGTGAGCTATGATTGTGCCACTGCACTCCAGCCTGGGTGACAGAGTGAGACCCTGTCTCTAAATATATATAGATATATATATATATAGAAAAGGGCCGGGCGTGGTGGCTCTTGCCTGTAATCCCAACACTTTGGGAGGCCGAAGTGGGCAAATCACCTGAGTCTGGGAGTTCGAGACCAGCCTGACCAACATGGAGAAACCCTGTGTCTAGTAAAAATACAAAATTAGCCAGATGTGGTGGCACATGCCTGTAATCCCAGCTACTCGGGAGGCTGAAGCAGGAGAATCGCTTGAACTCAGGAGGCGGAGGTTGCAGTGAGCCAAGATTGTGCCATTGCACTCCAGCCTGGGCAACAAGAGTGAAACTCCATCTCAAAAAAAAAAGAAAAGAAAAGAAAAGAAAAGAAAAGAAAAGAAGGCCGAGTGCAGTGGCTCACACCTATAATCCCAGTACTTTGGGAGGCTGAGGTGGGTGGATCACCTGAGGTCAGGTCAGGACTTCGAGACCAGCCTGCCAGCCTGGCCAACATGGTGAAACCTTATCTCTACTAAAAATACAAAAATTAGCTGGGCACAGAGGCGGGTACCTGTAATCCCAGCTGCTTGGGAGGTGGAGACAGGAGAATCGCTTGAATCCAGAAGGCAAAGTTTGCAGTGAGCTGAGATTGCACCACTGCACTCCAGCCTGGGCAACAAAAGTGAAACTCCATCTCAAAAAAAAAAAAAAGGAAAAGAAAGAAAAGAAAACATTAAAAAATGTTTAAAGAGTTGTACATAAATGTTCATAGCAGTCTTATTTGTAATAGCCACAACTGGGAATAACCCAAAGTTAATCAAAAGGTGAGTGAATAGGTGAATGCATAAGTGAAGAATGCATCTCTTCAGCCTGGAATGCATAAACACATAGTGGTTTATACAATGGAATATTATTCAACAATAAAAAGAGTATTGGACATGCTACAACATGGATGAGTCTCATAATAGTTATTTTCAGTGAAAGGTGCCAGACAAAAACTGGTATATGCTGTATGATCCCATTTATATAACATTATAGAAAGGTGCAAATGAGTCTATACTGACAGAAAATAGATCAGTGGTTGCCTGAGTATGGGGGTGAGGATCAAGGATGGGTAAGAGGGAGGAGTTACAAAGGGGCACAAGGAAACTTTTGAGGGTGATGGGTTTGTTCTCTTGTATTAACTGTGACAGTTCATGGGTGTGTATGTATGTCAACATTTATGAAAATTTTTTTGAGACAGGGTCTTGCTCCATTACCCAGGCTGGAGTACAATGGTGCGGTCACAGCTCACTACAGCCTCGAATTCCCCGGCTCACGCAATCCTCCCACCTCACCCTCCCTGGTAGCTGGGACTATAGGCACGCACCACCACACCTGGCTAATATTTTGTATTTTTTGTAGAGATGGGGTTTCGCCATGTTGCCCAGGCTTGTCTTGAACTCCTGGGCTCAAGCAATCCTCCTGCCTGGAACTCCTGAAGTGCTGGGGTTACAGGCGTGAGCCACCACGCTCGGCGAAAATGTACACTTCAAATAGGTGTAGCGTGCCAGGTGCGGTGGCTCACACCTGTAATCCCAGCACTTTGGGAGGCTGAGGCGGGTGGATCACCTGAGGTCAGGAGTTCAAGACCAGCCTGGGTAACACAGTGAGACCTTGTCTCTAATTCAAAAATAAGGTCGGGCGCAGTGGCTCATGCCTGTAATCCCAGCCCTTTGGGAGGCCAAGGCGGGTGGATCCTTTGAGGTCAGGAGTTTGAGACTAGCCTGGCCAATATGGTGAAACCCTGTCTCTACTAAAAATACAAAAATTAGTTGGGCATGGTGGGGGGTGCCTGTAATCCCAGCTACTACGGAGGCTGAGGCGGGAGAATTGCTTGAAACCAGGAAGTAGAGGTTGCAGCGAGCCAAAATGGAGCCACTCTACTGTAGCCTGGGTGACAGAGCGAGACTCCGTCTAAAAAAATAAAATAAAATAAAAAATAAATACACATAGCTTATTGTATTTCAACTATGCCTCAGTAAAGCTGTTTTTGAAAACCTCATTGAACTAGACACAAGATCTGTGCATTTTATTGTATACAACTACATATATGTATATATACAATATACATATGTACAAATATATATATATACTGTATATAGTATGTATACATACACACACATATATTTACATATATTCTTTTAAGGTCTCAAGAGAAATCACTTCTACTTTGACCTTGAGTGGCCCTCAGAATCCCTGTGATAGCCACCTGGCAGTGCATCTTTGGGCTGGTCCCTTTCTTCTCTGGGAAGCAGTGTCCTCTTTTGTCAAAAGCCTGGCTGTATTCTGAGGTCATCGCCAGCTCTAACATCTGTGGTTCTGTGAACCTAAGGATGAAAAAAAGAGTCCCCTGCAAACAGTGATGGCAGACAGTTAAACCAAACCAGATTTCCAGTCCAAACCGTGGGGCCCAACCTGAGCCACTTCAAATTCCATTAATCTATCCCTGCATGTTTGCACAGCAAAAAACCTGTTGTTCTTAAAGTACTGATCTTGGAGCTGGAGCCAGGGAGGCTGGGAGCTGGCAAATACAGACACTGGCTACCTGGGTTCTCACTCCAGGCTGCTCTGCTGATGTGAGCCAAAGGAGGAGCCTGCCTGGCTGCCCTGGGTCCTGTGTCTTTCTGGAACCACCTTATTGAGTGCTGTTTGGGTGGTCGCTAAGGCACCTGCTCCTTTCTGAAAGGAATAACCAATTAACAAGAAAGAAACAAACACTGGTTCTTCTGCCCAAGCCAGCCACCTCCTGTTTACAGGCTGTGGCCCTTTGGCCAGAGCCCCAGCTCTGTCTTCTAGGGAGAGCTGGCTGAAAATGAGTGAGAAATGACCAGGGGTATGGTGGACTCTGGATTTGGGTCCTGGGTCTGCGTCTTAAAAGCTGTGATCTTAGGCAAGCAGTTTCATCTCTCCCTGCATCTGGGGAGTGTGAATAACCAAACCAGGTACCTGGAGTGGTTGCAAGGATTACAGAAAATGAGATGCCAGAGATACAACATACAGAACTTCCCAGTGGCGCCTGGCATGGACTGAACACTCCCTAAACCTTGACTATCAATATTCATTAAAGCCGCTGGCATGGTACCTGGCACCCTTTTCTTCTGCATGAAGCTTTACTGCTTCCAAGTGACATTTGCATTCTGGAGTTCACTTTTCCCCTCAGTAAGAATTTAAGAGGGTCTGGCGCTATTTCTTATTCCTGGTGTTCAGAGGACAGCCTTCTTTGCAGCCCCTCCTCAGAAGGAGGAATCAAATATATGTGTTCCTCCTGCTGAAAACCTCTGCTGGCAGCCTGCAGCCTTCACAGTCAAGCGCCCTCTCTGCTGCCAGGGTCCAAGACTCTCCCGACATCCAGGAACTCCCTCAGCTGCCAGGTGCCCTCCCCACACTACACCCACCTTGCCTTCCTGCCTGGTGGCTGAGCATCTCTTCACTCTGGACTGCCCTTTCCACGCCCCCTGCCTGGCTCATTCCTAATCACCCTTCAAGGTCCTGCTTAGGTATCACCTCTGCTAGGAAGCCTTCCCAGACCTCCCGGGACAGCATAAAACTGAACTACCATGGTGTATTAGCCTCTTCTCACACTGCTAATAAACACATACCGAGACTAGGTAATTTAACACAGAAAAACAGGTTTAATGGACTCACAGTTCCACATGGCTCGGGAAGCCTCACAATCATGGTGGAAGGCAGAGGAGGAGCAAAGGCATGTCGTACAGGGCGCCAGGCAAGAGAGCTTGTGCAGGGGAACTGCCCTTGATAAAACCATCAGATCTCATTGGACATATTCAGTACCAGGTGAACACTATGTGGGAAACCGCCCCCATGATTCAATTATCCCCACCTGGCTTGGCCCTTGACACATGGAGATTATTACACTTCAAGGTGAGATTTAGGTAGGGACACAGCCAAACTGTGTCCAGTATTGGTGGGTTCTTGGTCTCACTGACTTCAAGAATGAAGCCGCGGACGCTCGCGGTGAGTATTACAGTTCTTAAAGGTGGTGTGTCCGCAGTTTGTTCCTTCTGATGTTCGGATGTATTTGGAGTTTCTTCCTTTTGGTGGATTCGTCATCTCCCTGGCTTAGTAGTGAAGCTGCAGACCTTCGCGGTGAGCTTACAGGTCTTAAGCCTACATGTTTGGAGTTGTTAGTTCCTCCCAATGGGTTCGTGGTCTCGCTGGCTTCAGAAGTGAAGCTGCAAACCTTCCCAGTGAGTGTTACAGCTCATAAAGGAAGTCTGGATCCAAAAAATGAGCAGCACCAAGATTTATTGCACAAAGCAAACAAACAAAGCTTCCACCTCTGCAATGGAACCCCAGCAGGTTGCCACTGCAGGCTTGAGCAGCCTGCTTTTATTCTCTTATCTGGCCCCACCCACATCCTGCTGATTGGTCCATTTTACAGAGAGCCGATTGGTCTGTTTTACAGAGAGCTGATTGGTCCGTTTTGACAGGGTGCTGATTGGTGTGTTTACAATCCCTGAGCTAGACACAAAAGTTCTCCACCTCCCCACTAGATTAGCTAGATACAGAGTGTGGATTGGTGCATTCACAAACCCTGAGCTAGACACAGGGTGCTGACTGGTGTGTTTACAAACCTTGAGCTAGATACAGAGTGCTGATTGGTGTATTTACAATCCCCTAGCTAGACATAAAGGTTCTCCAAGTCCCCACCAGATTAACTAGATACAGAGTGTGGATTGGTGCATTCACAAACCCTGAGCTAGACACAGGGTGCTGATTGGTGTGTTTACAAACCTTGAGCTAGATACAGAGTGCTGATTGGTGTATTTACAATCCCTTAGCTAGAGATAAAGATTCTCCAAGTCCCCAGCAGACTCAGGAGCCCAGCTGGCTTCACCAAGTGGATCCCGCACCGGGCCGCGGGTGGAGCTGTGTGCCAGTCCTGCGCCCTGCGCACACTCCTCAGCCCTTGGTCAGGTTGATGGGACTGGGTGCCGTGGAGCAGGGGTTGGCACTCGTACAGGAGACTCAGGCCGCGCAGGAGCCCACGGCAGGTGGCGGGGGAGACTCAGGCATGGCGGGCTGCAGGTGCGGAGCCCTGCCCTGAGGTGAGGCAGCTAAGGCCCGGCGAGAAATCGAGCACAGCGCCAGTGGGCCAGCACTGCTGGGAAATCCAGTGCATCCTCCGCAGCTACTGGCCCAAGTGCTAAGCCCCTCACTGCCCCGGGCTTGTGGGCTGGCTGGCCGCTCTGAGTGCGGCCCGCCGAGCCCACGCCCACCCGGAACTTGCGCTGACCTGCAAGCGCCACACGCAGCCCCGGTTCCTGCCCACGCCTCTCCCTACACACCTCCCCGCAAGCCGAGGGAGCCGGCTCCAGCCTCGGCCAGCCCAGAGAAGGGCTCCCACGGTGCAGCGGCAGGCTGAAGGCTCCTCAAGCACGGCTAGAATGGGCGCGGAGGCCGAGGAGGCACCGAGAGCAAGCGAGGGCAGCGAGGGCTGCCAGCATGCTGTCACCTCTCAAAACCATATCACATGGGAAGGGCCCAGACTTCAGAGTTGGCATTCCTGGCGCTGTCCCCCACCAGTCACACACCATCAACAAGCTGCCTTGCCTCTCTGAGAGGTTTTAGGTCCTCTAAAAATAGTACCTACCTCATAGTGTTGTTGTGTGGATGAAAGGCAAAGCCCTTACTTACCATAGTGCTGGTTCATTGTAAGCGCTTGGCAGATGCTAGCTGTGTGCACCTAAGTACCTGGCTTTTAGTCCTTGACCAGCTACTGACATGCTGAGTGGATGTGGACAAGTCTGTCTTAGATTTGGTTTCCCTATTCTGTTAATGAAGCATCTTAAGCCCCAGAGGCCTGTGGATGGTTTGGGGGGTGGGGGGTGGGGTAAATTAATATGTAGCCCACAGTGCTGGGGCCTCTGGGCTTTTTTCCAGAAGGCGCTCCAGGCTGCCCACTAAAGAAGCCCAACTGCCACAGCAGCAGACCCTGCGGGGAGCTGGACGCTCTGCAGCCGCCTGAGCCGCCATGGCTGACTTGGTATGAGCAAACATAGGCTCATGCTCTGATCTTGCCTGGCCTCCTGTGGCCAGTGCTCAGGACATGTCATTTGAGTGCTGAAATAAACCTCTGGACCTTTCTTTTTTTTTGTTTTTTTTTTTGAGACGGAGTCACTCTGTAGCCCAGGCTGGAGTGCAGTGGCGCGATCTCAGCTCACTGCAAGCTCCGCCTCCTAGGTTCACGCCATTCTCCTGCCTCAGCCTCCCGAGTAGCTGGGACTACAGGCGCCCACCACCACGCCTGGCTAATACCTCTGGACCTTTCTTATCCCTCAAGGACAAATTCAACCCCCTTTTTCCCTTGAGACTGGCATCCTGCTGGAGAAGGCATGGCCCAAGGCAGGAGGCCAAGAGCGCACTCCTTCCCAGGCATCCTGGACTCGCCATCTTTCTCATCCCCCACCTTACTGTCCCCTGTTCCCCACCCATAGGAGGGCTGAAGACCCATGAGTTCTACCAGTAAATAGCCCTTGATCATCCCTTTTCTCTGCCCATTTGGTCCAAGCCCTTGGCTTCTTTTTACTGGGCTGTTGTAGTGAAAGGTCATGCTAGGTGAGATACCTTGGCTCACGCCTGTAATTCCAGAGCTTTGGGAAACCAAGACAGGAGCGTCTCTTGAGGCCAAGAGTTCAAGACCAGCCTGGGCAACATAGTGAGACTCTCATCTCTAGAAAAAGAAAAAAAGAAAAAAAAGAAAAAAGAAAAAAAAAAGGCTGAGCGTGGTGGGGCACACCTGTAATCCCAACTTCTTGGGAGGCTGGGGGAGGAGGATCATTTGAGCCCAGGAGTTTGAGGTTGCAGTGAGCTATGATCATGCCAGTGCACTCAGTCTGGGTGACAGAATAAGACTCTGTCTCTAAAAATATATATACATAAATAAAGATTGTGGTAGATCCAGTTTCCAGGCTAAATTGCCCTTGATGATAGCCCACTGCCATGCTAAGCGCTCCACGATCTGTCCCCTGCTCACCCCTTTCACCTCTTCTCCTAGCTCCTCACCCACCCTCTACTGTGGCCTCTCTGGCCTGTTGGACATTGCCTGGCTGAGCTGTACGATCACACTTCTGTGACTTTGTTCACATGCCCCCTCAGCCTGGAATGTCCTTTTCATCCACTCTTACCTTCGGAAATTCTTCTAGCCTCCAGAGCCAGCCCAAAGTCCTCCTCGTCTGGGAAGGAAGACTCCTCTGGTTCAGGGTCAGAACTAAGGATGCCCGAGGGCTCTCTCAGCTCCTGCTTGCACTGCAGTTGGAGAGAAACTGAGTCCCTTGGGCAAGATCCCTGAGGAATCCTGTTCCAGCAACTCCACAGTTGTTCCAGGTCAGAAAGGTGATTGTCCTGGCTCTGGAAGGCCCCTCCTCAGACCCCTGAGCCCAGCATTTCCTGCATTCCCAGCCCTCCCTACATGGTGTGAGGTGCTTCCTCCAGATGACCCTAAGCTCCTCGTGTGCTAGGATCCAGGTCTCTTCTCTGGGGGCTTGGCTCCTGGCTCACAGGTTGGTCCAAAGCAGGTTTGCAGAGACTGATGAGTGAACGAACGTATGAGGCAATAAATGAACCAGAGCTCACCAGTCCCTCGGATGCCTATTTTCAGTTTTCTTTTTAAATTTTTTTTTAAGTTCCGGGATACATGTGCAGGTTTGTTACATAGGTATACATGTGCCATGGTGGTTTGCTGCACCCATCAACCTGTCATCTAGGATTTAAGCCCCTATTTGTCCTGATGCTCTCCCTCCCCCACCCCCTACTGCTGACAGGCCCCAGTGTGTGTTTTTCCCCTCCCTGTGTCCATGTGTTCTCATTGTTCAACTTACACTTATGAGTGAGAACATGCGGTGTTTGGTTTTCTGTTCCTGTGTTAGTTTGCTGAGGATGATGGCTTCCAGCTTCATCCATGTCCCTGCAAAGGACATGATCTCATTCCTTCTTATGGCTGCCATTTTGAGTTTTCAAAACTCAGAAAACTGATATGTAAAACCAATTTTATTAATTTTTCAGTGGGGATATGTCTGTCTCCCTCGACAGGAGCCCTCCCATCAGGCAGATCCCAAGTCTCTCTTTCAGAATATGGGTGTCACACTTGCTGACCCTCAATCTCATGTTTTATTTTATTTTTATTAAAAAGAAATTTTTTGAGACAGGGTTTGTTGCCCAGGCTGGAGTGCAGTGGCATGATCATGCCTCATTGCAGCCTCAATCTCCCAGGCTCAAACGATCCTCCCATCTTAGCTTTCTGAGTGGCTGGGACTACAAGCATGCACCACCCCACCCAGCTACTTTTTTCCTATTTTTTGTAGAGACAGGTTCTCCCTATGTTGCCCAGGCTGGTCTCGAACTCCTGGGCTCAAGTGGGACACTTCCACCTCAGTGTCCCAAAGTGCTGGGATCATAGGCATGAGCCAGTGCACCTGACAAGCTCACTTTTAAAATACCCCGCAGAGACTGCCCTGGCCAAGGTATAATCACACTGGTAGCTGGAAAGCCTTCTGGGCTGGGGTGCCATAGGCTGTATTTGGGTTCCAGTTCCAGCGCTGACTTTGCTCTATGATTCTGGACAAGTCATCGCCCTCTCTGGGCCTCAGTTTTCTCATCCATCTAATGGAAATATTCATCCTTGCCTGCCTGGGTGGTGTGAAGCTGGAAAGATAAGCACAGAAGCAGCTCATTCAGGCTCCAGGATCAAAATATAGTCCCTACTTCCAGAAAACTGGGCTGTTTAGGCGGGCAGCTGGGCATAGAGTGGAGGGTGGGGAGTGCTGGGGTGGAGAGCAGGTTGGACAGACAGAAGACTGGTGAGGAGCCCTTCAAGCTGCTCTTTCTCCAGATCTTCTATTCTACAGCTCAGAGCTTCCTGGGGTGGCTTCCCACTGGTAGGATGCCAGATATCCTGTTTCATGTGCTGTGTCACTTGGTTAAATCAGTAGAGCCTGCTGGGTTAACTAAACTGGGGAAGATGCTAAAGTTGCATCCAAGCCCAGTATATCTGCCTTAGGTACCAAAGGGGTAGGAAGTGGCATATGTTTCACGTATGTGCCATCCATGAAGGCTAAACTCGGCTTGTCATTTAAGCCCCAGACATGTCATCACTCTAAGGGATGACGAGATTAGGATCCACAAGTATGCCTTGGAGCAGTTAGCAGATTTCCTCTGTGTGGCCCCAGAGACAGGCATGAAATCATGGAAGCAGATTCCCTTCGTCTTTGTTTGTGTTTGTGTTTTGTTTCATTTTTTTTTTGAGACAGGGTCTCACTGTGTTGCTCAGGCTGGAGTGCAGTGGTGTGGTCACAGCTCACTGCAGCCTTGACCTCCTGGGTTCACACAGTCCTCCCACCTCAGCCTCCCTAGTAGCTGGGACTATAGGTGTGCACCGCCATGCCTGGCTAATTTTTGTATTTTTGGTAGAGACGGGGTTCCACCACATCATCTTTGTTAGAAGCCACCTAACATGGTAATGAGCTCCTGGTCATTGGAAGCATTCAAGCAGAGGCTGAACAACTTGAAAGGAGGAGAGAAAATTCCTATTCAGAAATGATGTGTAGATCCCATTTCAAAGGCTGCTTCCTGCCCTTGTGCGCTAGGATTTGATTTTCATGTGAAGGGTTATCAGTGCCATTCCAGCCAGCCTTCCATGCTGGCCTGAGTGGCCCACTCAGGGTCCGGGACAGGCATACTCATCGGACCAGTCGGAGCAGTGCTGTACATGGTCGCGGCAGAGATGCCTCGGTATACAGTCGCAGTACTTGAAGAAGGTTGAAGGACAGCGCCACCACCCAGGGCCGCAGGGTGGGCACACAGTTACTGCAGAGACAAGAGCCAGCAGGAGAGCAGTTGCTGTGTCCTGGAACGCTCTGTGCACCAGGGCACTCCCTAGTTCTGAAACCTGCCGTAGCTCCCCATGGCCCCAACCCATCTGACGTGAGTTGAGTGTGTTCCTAGTTTTCCTGCGGCAGAGAGAATCTAGACTCCACAGCTCACAGGCTATGTGACCTCCCTCACCCTGTCTGAAACTGTTTCCTAGTGTGCTCAAGCTTGTTATCAAGCAAAGGATGTCAGGCAAAGTCCCAGGCACACGGTAAAGACTGCAATATGAATGGGTGCCCTTCCTTACCCTGAGTCCAGCTATGCTCACCTGCCATGACTGCCTGAGGGTGCTCCTAGCCTTCTCTCCTCTGCTCAGGCCTCCGGCATTCCTCCCCACACACCCAGCCTCTACCTACTGAAACCCGTCTATTCTTGGTCTTCTTGAATGCTACCTCTTCTGAGAAATCTCCCTTGATTCCTCCAGGTCCCCAGCACCTCCTTTCGGCATCAGCATGATGTGAGTCCTGGGGGTAGGACACATGCCTGATTCCTGATGTCCCCCACCTGAATCTGATACCAGGTGCGTTCTGAGCACCCCACCAATGCTCAGAACATGTTTGTTGATTGACCACTGGGGAAGAGATTGAGAGGAAACTCTAGGGCAGCTACAGGACTCGGGACTTGGATCAGGAGGCCTGGGTTCACACCTGAGCTCCCTTCCTGTCACACATTGTACTAAGTTTCTCCTCTCAAAGCCTCCATTTACTTACATACAAATTGGGGCCAGTGATTCCTGCCCTGCTTTCCTCACAGGGTCACTGGGAGGTGCAGAGATAAGGGAACCCCAGGTTCAAATCCCAGCTGGGCCATGTATGTACTCCTTGCATGACCACCTTCTGGGACCCAGTTTTCTCATCTGTGCCTTTGAAGGTGACTTCCCCACTGCAGAAGAATGAGCCTCCAGAAAAAGTCACTTGGAGTGGTAGTGAGTACCCCATCACAGGATGTATTCAAGCAGGGGTAGAAAACTCCTTCCTAGGATGCAGGGAAGCATGCAAGGGGGAGCCCTAGAGATTCCCTGCTCACCCTTTGCCCTCTGGCTGCTGCCTGGACACCAGCCCCAGCCCAGCCTGTGCCCAGACCCCTACCTGGGCTCAGTTCATCTGAACAGTCCCCGCAGTTGTTAGTGCCATCACATTTTTGGTCTGAGTAGATCCAGGAGGCCGGGTCTCCACAGTGGGCCACAAGGAAGTGGGGGAGGCTCTGGGGCACATCTCCTGTAGAGGTACAGAGGAGGCAGGAAGAAGTCCACATCTGGCCACAGCTGTCTGAGGGTTATCGGGAGGAGGATTGACCACCCTGGCAGTGGCCAAACTCAGGATCAGTGCCCATCCAGCCCAGAAGGGTGCAAGCAGAAGGTTTCCTGGGGAGGTGGTGGAGTCAGAGGGAGAGGAGAGCTCCGTTGCTGGACAGAGGCCCAGAGATCTGCCCCTCCCTTCCTCAGTTCCTCCCCAGCTCTGGTGTGTTCCTGCCCCACACCACTGCTGACACTATGCCCCCCTCCACAAAGAGCCTCCTTGACACCTATCCAAAACCATTCTTTCAAGTTCAGGTTCAAGTTCCATCACCTCCAGGAAGCCTCTTCCAACTGGAACATCACAGGAATAAATGTGGAGTCTTACAGTTGGGCCCCGGATCTCAGGGGAAGATCTAGGGTTCACACACCTTGTAAGGCAGAGTCAGAGCACCTTTCTTGAAAGTGTGTTCTGTTAGGCAGCAGTGTGATAGGGCTATCAAAAATTCACACAAACTCAGGCCACATCACTAGAGGTAGAAAACCTTGGGCAGGGAGGGAGCAAGATTCTGTTCGTTAGACTGCCCAGACCCAGCTAGAAGGGCTGAGGATGTTTCTGAGGCCTGTCCAGGGACGGGGACATGGGAAGTTGATATTCATTCTGTGGAGCATTGATGGAGTGGGGAGGGCCAGGAACTGGGTCACAAGGGGGCTGACTGTGACCTGGAGAAGGGGATGTGGCGTAGAGAAGAGAAACCTCATGGAGGGCAAGGGAGCAATCTTCAAATCCATGCAGCACCACCATCATGGCAGAAATTAAAGTGTGGTCTATCGGGGCAGGGTTGACAGAAGGACAGAGTTGGAACCAATCAGGGAGGAACCACTCTGGGAGGCAGCTCTAAGCCTGGGACAAGGAAAACCTTCCCATGGAAAAACCTTCCAATCCTTGCATCCCCTGGGATGCAAGCAGAGGCTGGGTGGCCTCGGTTGGGCTTGCTAGAGAGGGGATTGGGGATGAGCTGGGGCAAGGACTAGATGCTTTTGAGATTGCTTCTTGTCCTGAGGGTCTGTGATGCAATGACTCTCCCTCCATGAGCTCCCCCACCCCACCCACTGCACCTCTCCAGGCTCTCTCTCTCCTGTGGGGTCAGGCTCCTCTCTCCTGAGAACCTTCAGGTGTGTCTAAGGTCTGGGGCCAGGTCTTCCCATTCATTCATTCGCTCATTCATTCAGCAAGCCGTTCTGAATACCCCTCTGTGCTAGGCACTGGGGCCCCGATATCAAGCGGACTGGGCCTGCCTCAGAGGAGTTCACAGTCTGATGGGGGTGGCAGATGTGCCAATCAAGAGCGACAACCAGTGTGACAAGGGCTGGGACACAGGGAATCACAGGGACTGTGGAAGCCCAAAGGAGACACTTTAACCTAGTGTGGGAGTCAGGGAAGGCTTCCTGGAGGAGGTAACATTTGAACTCTGCCTTGAGGGATGAATACGGGTTCTCTGGGAGTGGAGACGCACAGGGTGAAGGCATTCCTTAGTGGGGGCATGTATGTGTGTCCCTGACTGGGACCAGGTCGGGGCAGGTGTTCCTGGATGAAGGCACTGGAGCATCAAAGCCATGGGGACTTGAAGGTGCCTGATGTGTTCAGTATGGATGCCAAGAGCATCGGAGTGTGGGGGAACCCCTGGGAGGGGCAGCACCGAGCGGGTACTCACGGCACAAGCTCTCATCCTCGTCCTCGCCGTGGGTACAGGTGCGAACGCCATCACAGACCCCACTGGCTGGAATGCAGCTCCTCTGGTCATGGCACAAGAAGCCTGTCCTGTTTGTCAGTGTTATACAAGCTTGGGCTCCTGAATGGGCAGGGAAAGGCCCTGGAGGGTCAAGGGTGGTGCTCACAAGGACAAACCTTCCTCACCTGAACTCCGCCTAGAGCTGGCCTGAGGGGCTGGGGCAGTGGGGAGGATGGACCCAGCGCCATCAATGGGGTTCAAGCCCCAGCTGTACCCGCTGCCGGCTGCCTGATCTTGGGCAGATGACCTGACCACCCTGAGTCTCAGGTTGTTTGCAACATGGGAATCATAGCACACACCCCGTGGGACTGTTGTGGGGATTAAATGAAAGCATCTCTGTGAAGAAACATAGAACAGAAAATGTGCAGAACTAGTAATGGTTCTCTCTTGTATTGAAAACTTATTTACAGTGTCATGGGAAGCTTCTGAGGACAATGTTCAATTCAGTGAAGTGGTTTTAATGGTGGAGCTCCTGGTACCAGGTTAGAGTGTCAGAAGCAATATATTTGGGCTGGCTGGAGGGCCATATGTCATAATTCCTTCTATCTGGGCACAACTGCAAAGCACTTTCATATCTTTATTCTATAGTTCCCCAAACACCCCTGCGACACGTCATCATTAGCCCCCCATATGGGAGGAGAAAAGGAATACCCACTCCTAGGGCTGCCCCAAAGAATTAAAAGGCAGAAACCTACGGACAAGGTAGGAGGAACCCCTTGGCCCCACATGTGTATACGTGTGCATAATTGGGGATGGGAGCCAGTTTGTGCATTTGTGTTTGTGCATGCGTGAACCACCTCTCAGTCCCTGGGCTGCCTCAGCTAGTGTGTGTGGGGGAGGCGGCGGGGGGGAGCAACTCTCAGAGACACTCATGTTGACACAGACACACACAGATGCACACACACATGAACACATGCTCACACACACACTGCTGCACCTATGTGCACACTCACAGATACACAGACAACAGATGTGCACACACGCACTGACACACAGACATGAACATGCATACACAGCTGCGTACACTCATAGACACGCTAAACACACAGATGTGCACACAGGCTCTTGACTGCAGCTGCTCATGTATTCATCCACCTCAGGGTCTGTGTTCCTGCAGGGCAGGGGGAGCGCTGCGAATCTCAGCCCCCGCCCCCACCTCAGCCCTCTATACCCACCCTGCCTGGCTGCAGAGCCATCCTTCAGAAACATCAGCCTGCCCCCAACTTGCCCCCAACTTAATCCCCTTTCTGTGGCTCCTGGACTATGACCTCCCTTCTCGGTGCAGCCTGTGAGGCCCTTGGCACTGGGCCCCACTTGTCACTCCAGCCCTTCCTGTGCACTGGCCTCTTGCAGTCTCTTCTTCTCTTCCTGCTTCCTCCCACCCCTCAGGGCTCCACACATGCTGTTCCCTGTGCCTGGGATGCTTTTCCTGGCATCCCCCCACTACTAATACCCATTGTTCCTACCCTGACTCCTCAATGGGGCTAGACTCTCAGGGCTCCCAGGGACCCCGCTGTAATGTGTATTCACGTCTAGACGGCTCTCGGAACAGTTATTAGCTCCTTGAAGGCAGGCACTGTGTTGGGGTTGTTCACCCCTGAAGCTGGGGCTGCAGGCATGTATGGGATGTCACCCGGTCCCCTGTGGTGGAGATGGGCACACAGTTGGATAGCACCACCCCGGGGTGGCCAGGCCAGGGGAAGAGGAAGTGTAGGGACTGGGGGGCTGAGAAGAGGCTCGTAACCCATCCTGGGGGTCTAGGAAGGCATCCTGGAGGAGGTGACATCAGAGCTGGGTCCTCTCAATAATCATGTCACAGATGTGCAAATGGAGGCTCAGAAACAGGTATAGTCAGTGTGTGTGCAGGTGTCTGTGTGTGTCTGTGCATGCACCTTAAGGAATTAGTCCAAAGTCACCTGGTGGAGAAGCCAGGCAGGTCGGGGCTCCCTCATCTCTCTGTGCCCTCCCATGCCCTCCCCGCCGGGTCTGACCCACCCTCTCTTGGCCGCCCTGACCTGGGGTGCATGATGGGAGTCCAAGAATGGTGACCAAGGCGATGAGGGCCGCCACAGTTGCCAGGAGGAGCAGCAGAGAGGCAGAGAGGCAGGCCCCGCGACGTGAGCAGCAGAGGTGGCCGCCGCCTGCTGTGTGGGGGGGAAACAAGCCCGGGGGTGGTGGTGATAGGGGGCCAGCGCTAGGAACAGGGAGCTCCCTCTCCGCCCTGCCCGCTGCAAGCAGCCTCTCCCCCACGAGGGTGAGCAGAGCAGGGATGGCTTCCCTGGAGGAGCAGCTCCCAAGCCCTCCTTGATGCTCTTTGTTCTGCCTGTGGGCCCACCCCACTAGGTGCCACCCTGGCCAGGGGCCCACAGCTGGCTGAATGGCAGAGGCGGACAGCCCTCCCCTCCCACCCGCCATCAGGAGACTTCCTCAGGACGCAGGGAGAGATGGACGCCTGCATGTCCAGCCCCCACCTTGGGGCAGAAGCTCCATTAGGCCCTTCATAAGCGTGCTTTATTTTTCAAAACAACCTTTTATTTTATCAATGAGGAAACTAGGGCTCAGGAAGAAAAGATTCATGTCACCCTGGGTGGAGCTGGCGTGTGAATCCACACCTGTTTGATGCCAAAACCCGTGCCCTTTCCACGATCCCAATTGACTGTCCATTCTGGAGTCTGCTGGGATGCAGGTTGGAATCCCAGCTCTACCGCATCCTACCTGGGCCACACTGAGTAAGCCACTTCACTTCCCTGTGCCTCAGTTTCCTCATGTGGAAAATGGGTACCATAATAGCTACCTTAGACTTTGTTGAGAGGATTAGAATTTGTTGAGTTAATGTGCACAGAGTAAGTGTTGAGTATGAGCTATTATTATTGCTTTTTTTAATTATTATTTTTTATATTTTAGAGATAGGGTCTGGCTCTGTTGCCCAGGCTGCAGTGCAATGGTGCAATCTAGTTCACTGCACCCTATAAGTCCTAGGCTCAAGCAGTCCTCCTGCCTCAACCTCCCAAAATGCTGGGACAACAGGCGTGCACCACTGTGTCTGGCCTGTTATTGCTTATTGAGGACTTACCATGTGCCGAGCCTTATTCTAAGCACTATGGAGATAGCAGTGATAGGGGACGTCCCTGCTCTTGTAGAACTGTACTTTAATTCTCCTTTAATTCTCCCCTGCTTACAAAATAATAAAAGAAGGCTTTACTGAGGACCTCCTGGGTGCCCTGCTGTGCAGCTTGCCCTGGTCCTTGCCCTCTGCAGCTTGTTATTGCACTTAGAAGGCAAGGCATGGACATGCCTGAAGGGGTGTGGGAGCTACTGACGTGCCCAGGCCACAGGTACCTCAGAGAAAGGGGCAGGAGCAGGTGTGATTCATCCCTGTGACCCCAGGGCCCAGCCCAGAGCCAGGCACGTGGTGGGGGCTTTTGTTTTTTTTGTTTTTTTTGTTTTTTTTTTGAGGCGGAGTCTTGCTCTATTGCCCAGGCTGAAGTGCAGTTGCATGATCTCAACTCACTGCAACCTCTGCCTTCTGGGTTCAAGCGATTCTCCTGCCTCAGCCTCCCGAGTAGCTGGGATGACAGGCGCCCGCCACCATGCCTGGCTAATTTTTGTATTTTTAGTAGAGACGGGTTTCACCATGTTGGCCAGGCTGGTCTTGAACTCCTGACCTCAGGTGATCCGCCCACCTTGGCCTCCCGAAGTGCTGGGATTACAGGTGTGAGCCACCACACCGGCCTGGGGCTTTGTGAACACTCTGTGAATATGCCGACCTGGGGGTCCAGGAGGCAAGAGAAGGCCCCCAGTATGGGTCAGTCCAGGTTATTTCCAATCCATTCACATTTCTGATGCAGTGTCCTCAGAAGCAGAATGGGATTTCCACAGGCAGGTAAGGGGAGGGTGCAAAGAGAGGGCATTCCAGGCAGAGGGCGTGGCAGGAGTAAAGGCCCAGTGGTTGCAGGTGGGGGAGCACAAATGGCCTGGGGTGGTGGGACTCCAAGATGGATGTGTATTGGGAGGGGAGACAATAGCAGGAGAGGCAGCATAAATCTAAAACCTGTCATCCCTACAGCCCTAGTTGGTGGCTCCTTGGCCATCAGCAAACAGGGTAAACTCAGGTAACCAGGGAGGCAGCGTGACTCTGGGCAGGGAGAGGTGTCCTGATCAGCCAAGCAGCTCCTCAAATATTTGTGCAGCACAGACCATGCACAAGGTGGGGCCATGGGAGAACCCGCAGAACCAAGGCTCCTGCCCAGGTGAAGCTGTTGCACTTCAAAGCCAGAAAGCCCTTAGGTGCCAGTCCTCTCCCTGTACCGATGAGGAAAAGGAGGTGATTCTTTCCACAACCCCGCCCATCATGAGTCAGGACTTAGAAATAAACAAACACCAGCTCGGAGCAACAAAAGCCCTGGGGCTTTGTAACCAGAGAGACCTCAGTTCACATTTGAACCCTGGCCCTCCAACCTCCCTGCTGTGTGACCTTGGCCTGGTTACTCAACCTCTCTTAGTTTCAGCTGTCTCATCTGTTATTGCCCCATAACAGGGCCCCTGTCTCAGAGCTGTCCTGAGGATTAAAGAGATCATGCAGTGCCAGGCACCTAACTGGGGATGGATTCTTTATAGCTGGTATTTTAATCTACCTCTCTGAGTGTGTTTCGTCATTGATCAAATGTGGGCCAAGCCAGGGCATATGCAAAGCTCAGTACATGTGTGTTTCTTCCTTCTTCTATTTTCAGAAGGGTAAAGAGGACTGTCCTGGTCACACCATGGGCCAGTGGCACATAGTAGGGCTAAATAAATGTGTCACTTTATCCATCAGAGTTAAAGAGAATTGCCCAGGTCACCCACTGAGTCAAGAATTTGACGCTGGTGCTCTTTTCTCTGTGTTACAGGTGGGCACTGTATGCAGTTTGGTGCCTGTGAGGTAGGCAGCACACAGTAGGTGCTTAATGAATGCATGTGCATGGAGAGAATGAATAACCCTATTAAGCAAGTGACTGTCAGCATGGCTGGCCAGGAAGCTGGGAGCAGACAACGTTAACATGGAGGCAGAGGTCTGAGGGACAGTGGGAGCCTTGAACCCTCCTCATGTCTCTATCGCCAACTGCCAGCTTCAAGGGAGCCCCACAGGGCACTGGCCCCAGGCCCTCCAGTTCTTTACCTTCCCCTCCAGGGTGGGCTTTGGATTCAGCAGCAGTGTAGCCATTCTCTCCCTGCCCAAGAGAACAGAGTGAGGGGTGGGCTTAGGTGAGGTGAGCTCCAGCCTCAGGGAGGCAGACAACAGGGTTTTCAGAGGGGTCACTGAGAGAGTCTTAGGTAGAACCACGGGTCCGTCACACCCCAGCATCTCACGCCCCAGATGCATCATGCCCGCTTCATATGTCCACACCTTTGCCTGCACTGTGCCCTCTGCCTGGAAAGCCTTTTTCTCTGCTGTCCACCTGATAAATATTCATCCTTCAAACCGGCTTGGGCAGCGACTCCTGGGTGAGGCTTTCCCTGATACCCTCCTCCCCAGTAAAACTGGCCGCTCTTCCCTCCTGTCCACCTGGCTCCTCTGTTTCCATACCAGCACTTGCCACCTGGACTGTATTGCTGGGTCATTGGTAGGGTCCCCTACACCCTGGGAGTGAGCCCCGGGGCAGGACGGGGGCTGATTTTCCTCCGTGTCTCCCATGTATGCCCACTCTCTACTGCCCACTCCTCATCCCAAGGTTTGCTCTCCCAAGATCAGGAGCCTGGTCAGGGCGGCTCTTACCTGGGGACAGCTCTTACTTGGAGACAACTCTTACCTGGGGACAGCTCTCACCTGGGGACAGCTCTCACTTGGGGACAGCTCTTACTTGGAGACAACTCTCACCTGGGGACAGCTCTCACCTGGGGGAAGACCTTGTTCATGTCTTCGGTTTCCTGCTGCCCGACTGGGGCTGTGTGCAGAGAGCTCAGCACGGGTTCCCTGCATTGTCACCAAGGCCAACCTGGAGGAGGGACAAGCAGGAGGCCTTGCCCGGGCCACACCCTCCCTGTGGGCAGGCCCCTGTCAGCTGCCTTCCAAGCAGAGGCAAAGGCAGGAGGGCCCCTCTCCGGCCAGGCTATTCCCTCATCTGCCATCTGACAGCAACATTGCGAGGCTGGAATCCTCATCCCTATTCCACAGATGAAGAGCCAGAGGTTCAGAGAGGGAGAAACTGCCCCAAGTCTCACAGTGCATGGGAGGAGTGAAACCCAGAAACTTTTCAGAAAGTGCATTTTCCTCCACATCAGAGATGGAACCGGAGGAGCTCAGGTTCCAGGGGTATGAAGATGCAGGCAGAAACTCCCAGAATTGACGTTTCGGTGGCTAGAAAGTAGGGGTCATTTTCTCATTGATGTTCTTCTGTTCAACTACATAGGTGACCTAGATTGAAAGAATATGCATTTTCCACTAAAATTATAAAGCAAATATAATTTTAAATTGTTTCATTTAGAAACGTGGCAATGTGAATTTTTACTGCCCCTGAGGTGGTGCTGAGGTAGGGAAGAGGCGGGGGGCTGGTTGCTTGCGTGAACAACCCCTTCTATGTCCCCAGTGAGTGGGTTTCCCTAGCAGCCTGTCCCACTGCTGAGTAAACCAAGGCCCTGGAATCTTGAGGGACAGGTCCAAGGACCCGGACCAAGGGAGGAGAGGTGTCTACCTCCAGAAATGAGCTCAGGAGTTCTTGCACCTGCCTCTGATGCCCATAGATTTTCCAACCTGCAATCAGCCTTTTCTTTTGCATTGGGAAATAAAATGATGAATCCACGTGGGTGCAAGTAGGAGGCACAGACACAGGGGCAGCCCTTGGGAGGCAGCAAGTAACATTGTGAAGAGCTGAGCCCTAGGCCGGGAGAACAGGACTCTCATTAGGGCCCTACCACTGGCTCTGACGGGTGACTCACTCCCCTTCCCTGCGCCTCAGTTCCTTCATCCAGAAAATAAAGATATAAGCTAGATGAAGGGGGTGTTTTAGTTTAAGGTTCCCCAGAATCAGACTCTAAGACAAGATTTGAGGGCAAGTAGAGTTAATTGGGAGTGATCCCAGGAAATGCTGGTCGGGGGGTGAGGGAAATGAGACATGGAAGAGAAGGATCCGATAACAGTCGTGTTATGAAGCAGGTTTCCGCTGTGGGCAAGTGGAATTTAGCCCTGCTGGGGCACTCGGGGAAGCTAGGGGAGAAGATGCCCCTCAGAGTTATCCCACTCAAGGTGAGGGGAACTGGGGTAATAATCTGCCAGCTCCTGCCAGTCTTGGTTGAGAATGGCCAGAGGAGGCCAGGCATGGTGGCTCATGCCTGTAATCCCAGCACTTTGGGAGGCCGAGGCAGGTGGATCACCTGAGATCAGGAGTTCAAGACCAGCCTGGCCAACATAGTGAAACCCCGTCTTTACTAAAAATACAAAAAATTAGCCGGGCATGGTGGCAGGCGCCTGTCATCCCAGCTACTCAGGAGGCTGAGGCAGGAGAATTGCTTGAACCTGGGAGGCAGAAGTTGCAGTGAGCCAAGATTGCGCCATTGCACTCCAGCCTGGGCAATAAGAGCGAAACTTCGTCTCAAAAAAAAAGAGACTAGCCAGAGGGTGTTAATTCCTTGTACCACTGGGCTGCCTTAGGCAAGGAGATGTCAGTGATGGCAACTTAGCAGCTGCACGCTAAGCTAATATGTCCTGAAATGGAAAGCGCTGATAGCATGGGCAGGGCACCCATGGTCCCTACTAAAGACACTAACTAGATTTTATCTGGCATGTCAGCTGCAATTGATTGCAAAAGGCTCTCTGGAACATGGGCCTCAGAAGGATTCTGAGGTCAGAACTGTGATTGACTAGTGATGCCTGCCATGGGTGTAAGAGTGGAGAGGGGTATCAGACATGATGGCTTTCACTCGCATCCGTGTGAAGAGACCACCAAACAGGATTTATGTGAGCAATAAAGCTGTTTATTTCACCTGGGTGCAGGTGGGCTGAGTCCGAAAAGAGTCAGCGAAGGGAGATAAGGGTGGGGCCGTTTTATAGGATTTGGGTAGATAAAGGAAAATTACAGTCAAAGGGGGGTTGTTCTCTGGCGGGCAGAGTGGGGGTCACAAGGTGCTCAGTAGGGGAGCTTTTGAGCCAGGATGAGCCAGGAGAAGGAATTTCACAAGACAGTGTCATCAGTTAAGGCAGGAACCGGTCATCTGGATGTATACGTGCAGGTCACAGGGGATATGATGGCTTAGCTTGGGCTCAGAGGCCTGACAATGACCATTTGCCATTCCTGGACATATTAATGCCCTTCAGCCTCTGGCCTTCCTTGACTCCGTGATTCTTAAGTGTTCCTTTATAAAAAGACTCCCCGGGGCTTTGAAATGCCCTTTCATCTGCTGAGTCCAGGTACAGCCACATACAACTATGCTGAAAGCACTGCGTCTCTCCAGGGCTCAGGCTGTCACCAAGAACCCTTGAGGGAAGGGCAGCAGGGGGCCTGGTGACATGAAGGACAGGCCCTGGTGCCTCAATCCTTGAACTTCCTGGAATCATATCCCCTGCAATTCACAGTCTCACTCTCAAGGGGAGGGCATGGATGGAAGGGAGGCAGATATTATTTATTGAGCAGCTACTATGCTCCAGGCACTACACCAGCCACCTTACACACGCCCTCTCCCTTGATCCTCACAACAACTCTGAAAGATAGGTAATATTATTACACCCACTAGACAGATGCAGAAACTGGGTTCAGAGAGGTTAAGTAACTTGCCAAAGCCACACAGTGGGTAAACAGCAGAGCAGAGATTTTAACCCAGGTCAGTTTTGCCTCCAAGCAGAGTTGATTCACACTCCCTCCCTTGTGGATGAGAATTTCTGTTGATCACATCTCTGTCAACACTTAGTACCATCAGACTTTTTGATTTCCTCCAGCCTGACAACTGTGAAATACCATCAGTGGCTCGCCGCCTTTAGGATTTGCAGTCCTCTTTTGCTTAACCTCAGATGTGTCTCATTCTAAAGCAGGGAGATGCTGGGCACTGTGGCTTGCACCTGTAATCCCAGGACTTTGGGAGGCCAAAGTGGGTGGATCGGTTGATATCAGGAGTTCGAGACCAGCCTGGCCAACATGGTGAAACCCTGTCTCTACTAAAAATATAAAAATTAGCCAGGCACGGTGGCCCACGCCTGTAATCCCAGCTACTTGGGAGGCTGAAATGGGAGAATCGCTTGAACGAACGGAAGGCAGAGGTTGCAGTAAGCCGAGATCGTGCCACTGCGCTCCAGCCTGGGTGACAGAGTGAGACTCTGTCTCAAAATAAATAAATAAATAAATAAAGCAGGGAGAATGGTGAGTGGTGGATGGAGAGTTCTAGCAGCAGCTTAAGGCGGTGCCCATATTATGAGGGTTAGAGGAGGAAATTGGAAAGAGTGGAAAACAGGGCTGCCAGAGTCCCTCAGGGAAACTCAGAACTTTGATCAGCAGAGTCAAAGGGACCTCAGGCTCAGAGAGAACAACGGCCTCACTTTACAGAAGGGGGATCTAAAGTCCGGAAAGAAGAGGGGACTTGTGCAAGGCCATACCGTGGTCAGTGTCCCAGTACAGCGAGCACTCCTTCCACAGCAGCAGATGGCCTCAGGGACATTGGCACGTGCAGCCTCAATTTTTTTTTTTTTTGAGACAGAGTCTTACTCTGTTGCCCAGGCTGGAGTGCAGTGGCGCGATCTCCGCTCACTGCCATCTCTGCCTCCTGGGTTCACGCCATTCTCCTGCCTCAGCTTCCCAAGTAGCTGGGACTACAGGTGCCTGCCACCACGCCCGGCTAATTTTTTGTATTTTTAGTAGAGACAGGGTTTCACTGTGTTAGCCAGGATGGTCTCGATCTCCTGACCTCGTGATTTGCCCACCTCGGCCTCCCAAAGTGCTGGGATTACAGGTGTGAGCCACCGTGCCCAGCCCAGCCTCAATTATTTTCAGCCTCACTGTCTCTCTTGCCTAGGGTACAGGCCCCAGGCTGCCAACCTCACGTGTCCCAGCAGTTGCTCCTGAAGGGCACTGTTCAGATGCTTGGCCCACGTTGTCCCCTCCTTCTCTACTGTCTGCTCTCTTTCTGGTTAGTTAGAACTGATGGCAGGGGCTTTCACTGCCTGTTCTTGTCCTAGCGGAAGGCAGTTGTTGGGATAGTTATATCATGAACACTAATGGCTTGGGCTGTAGTAAACAACCTCCACCTCCACCCTGCTGGGCCCTTGGCCTTGACTAGGACTCCTGGGCCAGGGCTGGGTAAACTTCTAGCAAGAGCACAAGTTTTGGAGCTGATAGTCCAAATGGTCTCACCACTAGCTGAGTGATCTTGGCTGGGTCACTTAACCTCTCTGAGCTGAGCTCAGATTGAGGCTGGGCTGGGCACGGTGGCTCACGCCTGTAATCCCAGCACTTTGGAAGGCCGAGGTGGGCGGATCACAAGGTCAGGAGATCGAGACCATCCTGGCTAACACATTGAAACCCCGTCTGGACTAAAAAAATACAAAAAATTAGCCAGGCATGGTGGCGGGCACCTGTAGTCCCAGCTACTCGAGAGGCTGTGGCAGGAGAATGGCATGAACTCGGGAACTGAAATCGCGCCACTGCACTCCAGCCTGGGCGACAGAGCAAGACTCCGTCTCAAAAAAAAAAAAAAAAGAAATACGGAAAGGTAGGAAGAATAATGTAACAAATAATCACGAATCCGAGTTAACAAGTGTTAACATGTAATCAGTTTTGCTTCACATTTTTTTCTGTTAAGTACAGCACAATTGAGGGCCTCTGTTTTTTTCCCCAGTTGTATTTCTTCTCCTCCCTTTCCAGAGTTGATCAGTTTCCTGAGTATGGCATGTATTCTTTGGTAACTGGTTTGTATATTTTTAACATATGGGTATATATGCATGAAAAATACGTAGTGCTGCCTTTATGGCTTTTTAAAAACATTGATAAAATTTAAAAATCAATATCATTTTAGTGTACATATCTCTATTGTTCTTTACACACACACACACACATCTAGTGTACATATCTCTCCTGCTCTTTACACACACACACACATACACACACATACACCTAGAATCAGTGTAGAAGCATCTTCAATTTCTCCAGATCTTGTGAAACTGCTCTGCAAAGGGAGTGACCTTGCACTCCCATCAGTAGTATGTGAGAGCTCCTGTCTCCCCAGTCTCACCAGCTCTTGAAATTGCCAGACTTCCTGACACCTGCCAGTCTGGTAGGTGTGGAATTGTATGTGGTTTAACTTTCACTCCTCTAGTTAGTCCTACTGCTACTACCAATTGCTAACATTTATAGAGTTCTTTACTTTTGTCACATACTATACTACATGCTTTATGTATATTCACTCATCTCGTCCTCCATAGGAGATGGGGACTATTATTTCCATTTTACACATGAGAAAACTGAGGCACAGAGACATGAAGTTACTTGCCCACGGTTCACACCCACAAAGTGGCAGAGCCAGAATTCAGACCTGGCTGGCTGAATTCACTCTTATCCTCACCACTCAAAAGTGTGGCCAGCGGATCAGCAGCACCCACATCACCTGGGAGCTGGTTAGAGATGCAGATTCCCAGGGCTCCCCAGACCTACCACACCAGAATCTCCATATTGACAAAATGCCCAGGAGATTCGAAAGCACATTACTTTGGAAAAGCACCGCCCTACCCTATGTCGTTATGCAGCTCCTTTTAAAATATACAAGTGGATTTCCTCCCTCGTGAATTGCCTTTTCATATCTGTTGCCCATTTTTCTATGGGTGGTTTGTCTTTTCTTTATTGATTTATGAATTTCTTTATGATGGATTTGAATCATTTGTTATATGGGTTGTAAATATCTCTCCCAGTCTGTGGCTTGTCACTTCTTAGGATGACTTCTGCTGGCTCCTTCTACCTTTCTAAATCCATCGTTCTTGCCAGAAGCCTTCTTTGCCTTTGCCTATACCTATATTCTTTATGCTCTGGGTCTCCATCTTAGCCTGGCTGTGGCTAAGGGAGAGTCACTGGACACGAGGTCAGCAAACCCCAGCTTGAGTCAGACAGACCTGGGTTTTCATCCTGACTCTGCCAAATTGAGACCTATCTAATTTAAGGTGGCAAGCTGCAGACTCTCTCAGTATCAGTTTCCTCATTTGAAAAATGGGGATAAGAATATTTAATTCAGAGTGGTGGCTGGAATGAAGTGAGTACACATATGAGAAGAGTGCTCTGCACCCTTTAAGGGTGGAATATTGTTTCTGGATGCCTTGGTCTGTTTCCAATTATGGAGATTGACCTAGGGACCTGCGAGATCTGCTTCTAGACCTGCCTATTGGTGAGGCCCAGTCTCTGCTTCAGCATAGATCACTCCTTCCCTATCCCTCCCACAACTCTGGGATCCTGGCTGGCTGCCTCCCCTCTCTGTTTACTCAACTGTACAATATACATGTTAAACCCCATCCTGTTTTCCAAGATGGATTTTTTTTTTTTTTACTTTTAAGTGCAGGGATACATGTGCAGGATATGCACGTTTGTTACATAGGTAAACATGTGTCATGGGGGTTTGTTGTACCGATTATTTCATCACCCAGGTATTAGTTATTTTTTTTGATCCTCTCCCTCCTCCCACCCTCCACCTACAATTGGCCCCAGTGTGTGTTGCTCCCCTCTATGTGTCCATGTGTTCATCATTTAGCTCTCACTTATAAGTGAGAACATGTGGTGTTTGGTTTTCTGTCTCTGTTAGTTTGCTAAGGATAATGGCCTCCAGCTCCATCCATGTCCCTGCAAAGGGCATGATCTTGTTCTTTTTATGGCTGCATAGTATTCCATGGTGTATATGTACCACATTTTCTTTTTCCAGTCTATCACTGATGGGCATTTGGATTGATTCCATGTCTTTGCTATTCTCAATAGTGCTGCAGTGAACATATGTGTGCATGTGTCTTTATAATAGAACGATTTATATTCCTTTGGGTATATACCCAGTAATGGGATTGCTGGGTTGAATGGTGTCTCTGACTTTAGCATTTTAGGTCTTCAAGGAAGACACTCTCTTCCACAATGGTTGTCTTCCACATTGTCTCCAACAATAGTTGAACTAATTTACACTCCCACCAATAGTGCATAAGTATTCCTTTTTCTCCACAACCTCACCAGCATTTGTTATTTTTTTGACCTTTTAATAACAGTCATTCTGACTGGTGTGAGATGGTAACTCATTGTGGGTTTTTTTTTTTTTTTTTGAGACAGAGTCTCGCTCTCTCACCAGGTTGGAGTGCAGTGGCATGATCTCAGCTCACTGCAACCTCTGCCTCCCTGGTTCAAGCGATTCCCCTGCCTTAGCATCCTGAGTAGCTGGGACTACAGGCACACATCACCACATCTGGCTAATTTTTCTTTTTTTTGTTTTTTGTATGTTAGTAGAGATGGAGTTTCACCATGTTGGCCATAGTCTTGATCTCCCAACCTCGTGATCCTCCCGCCTCGGCCTCCCAAAGTGCTGGGATTACAGGCATGAGCCACTGTGCCCGGCCTGTGGTTTTGATTTGCACTTCTCTACTGATCAGTGATGTTGAGCTTTTATTCATATGCTTGTTGGTGGCAAGTATATATTCTTTTAAGAAGTGTCTGTTCATGCCCATTGCCTACTTTTTTTTTTTTTTTTTTTTTTTTTTTTTTTTTTTTTTTTTTTGAGACGGAGTCTCGCTCTGTCGCCCAGGCCGGACTGCGGACTGCAGTGGCGCAATCTCGGCTCACTGCAAGCTCCGCTTCCCGGGTTCACGCCATTCTCCTGCCTCAGCCTCCCCAGTAGCTGGGACTACAGGCGCCCGCCACCGCGCCCGGCTAATTTTTTGTATTTTTAGTAGAGACGGGGTTTCACCTTGTTAGCCAGGATGGTCTCGATCTCCTGACCTCATGATCCACCCGCCTCGGCCTCCCAAAGTGCTGGGATTACAGGCGTGAGCCACCGCGCCCGGCCCATTGCCTACTTTTTAATGGGGTTGTTTTTTCTTGTAAATTTAGTTCCTTATAGATGCTAGATATTAGACCTTTGTCAGATGCATAGTTTGCAAATATTTTGATCAGTGATGTTGAGCTTTTATTCATATGCTTGTTGGAAGCATGTATATATTCTTTTGAGAAGTGTCTGTTCATGCCCATTGCCCACTTTTTAATGGGGTTGTTTTTTTCTTGTAAATTTGTTTAAGTTCCTTATAGATGCTAGATATTAGACCTTTGTCAGATGCATAGTTTGCAAATATTTTCTCCCATTCTGAAGGTTGTCTTCCAGGGTTTTTGTAGTTTTGGGTTTTATATTTAAGTCTTTAATCCACTAGATGGATGTTATAAGAATCCATTTAAGGTGATAGGTGAGAGTGCTACAAAGGGCTTTGCAAATGTCATGGGGAATCAACAAACCCACCCCATTGTGAATTACCTAAGTAGACACTTTTACAAGATAGCATTATTTTTTAATGCAGATGATCCAAGTTTTATTAAAGTTTACATACTTAAGCATAAATAAATTAACAGATTTGTAGCACCAATAATGGTGGCATGATGGTACACCTGGAGGTAACATTATCAAGAGCTTTTGTTGAAACCTTTCATTTTCAATCAGGTGCTGATTTTTTTCCACCCAAGTCTTCAATTATTACTGTTCTAACACTGCAAAAACCATTCAAGCATAAAAAAGCATGCAAGAGGCAGTAAAATAAGCCCAAATAATTGAGAATTGAACAAGAAAACAAAATAATTTACTCTTAAAATGACAAAAGTAAAATTAAGACAACCTCTAAACCAGGGGTCTGGTGAACTTGGATGGGAAAAATTTTAAATCTTTCTTTTCACCAACTTCTAACTGAAATATAACATTTCCTTCAATTACGAATATAGGAAACAGTCCACAGTAGGATCAGAGTACCTGTGACTTTGTCACCAATAGAAATGAGACATTTAGATATATTACAGTTGTTAGATATTTCAAGATATGAATTTGAATTATAGTAATTTTAGAACCACCATGCAGTCTTATTTTGTGTTAACAGAATATGTATGTTACTGGATCATAAAACTTTGAAAATATCAACTTTATTTTAACATGATCAGTTTCCTTTGCGATCCTTTATATTTAGTTTTATGCTTTGAAAACATTACTATGAGAGGGGGTCCACAGGCTTCACTGGATCACTAAAAAGCTCAATGGCACAAAAAAGTTTGAAACAAATAAGTCATTAATATCACAGGAAGAGAGTACTTAATAGTGAAATAGGGTGGGTGCAGTGGCTCATGCCTGCAATCCAAACACTTTGGGAGGCTGAGGCGGGCAGATTACCTGAGGCCAGGAGTTCGAGACCAGCCTGGGCAACATGGCAAAACCCCATCTTTACTAGAAATACAAAAATTAGCCAAGCATGGTGGCACGCGCCTGTAGTACCAGCTACTTGGGAGGCTGAGGCACGAGAATCGCTTGAACCTGGGAGCTGTGGAGGTTGCAGTGAGTCAAGATTGTACCAGTGCACTCCAGCCTGAGTAACAGTGTGAGACTCTGTCTCAAAAAAAAAAAAAGTGAAATATATGAAGCTGACTTCAACAGTAACAGATTTCAGAAAAGGTCTAAAAACTGTGCTCCAGAATTTAATTACCACAAGGAGTTAGAAAATCCACACTACCATCCAGCTTCCTAAACAGAAGACTAAATTTCCCGCTATCCCTGTCTTTACCACTGTACTCACCCCCACCCTAGACTCTAGTGTAGAACAAGTAGTCAAGGAAAGAGAGATTAAAATGGTCACTCATGCAGATGATACCCAAATGCAAACATGACACGCTTAGCAACTGGAAACCTGGTGGGAGGGGCGCAAGAGCACGCTGGCTTCCTAGAGACTGGTTGGCAAACGTAGAATTAAGAGGATGGTGATAAGAAACCAGGGATCCATGGGGCAGCCTTCCCAGTTTGCTCAAACATTCTGTTGCCAGGCTGTGACCAGGACTCAGAGACCAGTCCTAGGTTTACCATCCAGACAACAATGTGGGGGAGCAGAGAGAGCGTTATAGAGAAAAGTTTAAAAATATAAGTAAAATGAAATAGTATTCTTGGGTATTAAAAAAAGAACTCTGAGGCTAAGATTATTGTTGGCCTCTGGACTTGCCCTTTCTGGTCTATCTTCCACATTGCTGTCCGAGTGAATCATTCCAACACTGTATGGCACTCTCTTGCTTAAAATCTTTCAGTGGCTCTCTACTGTGCTCAGGATCAAGTGCAGGTTTAAAGTGCAGGTTTATTACCTGGTCTGCCTAGCCCCATCTTTTGTTATGCTTTTGTATGCTCTATCTCGGCCTACTCAACAATCTGCAGTGCCTCACCCTCTGGCCTCTAGGTCTTTGAGCACAGTGTCCCCACTGTCTGGTACACTGCTCTCTATATTGTGTTTGGCGTTCCCTTTTTCTCCAGGTTTAAGCTTGGCTATCACTTTCTCCCAGAAGTCCTCCTGTGTGCTCCCATAATGCATACAGCTCCTCCTATGTGCTCTGTGCTTGGTCATAGCACTTATCACATTAATAATAGTCTCCTTCAGAGTCTCAGCAATTGGGGTCAGGCACTGGGTCTTACTGTGGTCCTAGCATTTAGCATAGGGCCTGCCACTCAGGATCTCAGGTGGTTGTTGAATGGTTAAATTGTGGATCTATAAAGGCAGAACTGAGCAAAATTACTGCCTTGGTGTGGTGGTGACAGTAACTGGAAATCTCTGTCAATGATTCCCTACATGTGGACTTGATATTTGAGTCCACAAAAATTATAATGGAACTACTGTATATCTTTAAAAAACTTGTAACAAAAATGGCTCATTTATCTAAGACAAATCCAGACAGACTAATAACAAAGGGTAAATTGTTTGCCTTTGGCTGGAAGATAAGCTCAGACAGTGCAGGGTTTTCTGCTGATCAGCAGCTCAGATTGCCTCATGATGCACCACAGGGATTTCTGAGATAAGATTGACCAGATCATCTAGTAATTTCTGATTTACTACAAAACATATCACAAATGAAAGGTGCCCATGAAGTTTTGTGAGAAAACTTGGAACCTAGGCCCAGATCATTCATTATGGTGATTAGTACTGCTTTTGTAATTGCCTGAATTAGCATGTCTCTTAGATGAGGGACCTGAGCCAAGAAAGACCTTAGAAGTCTGGGAGGTTTGAACCAGAGACCCAACGGTCTTGAGAATTTGCCTAGGACCAAGACCAGATTCTCAAGATGCTTTCTGTGTGGTAGGAAATAAGATTATGACTGTTTTATGGAAACAAGGAGCTAAGTAAAGTTAGGCACATCCAAGAAGGGCAAAACTGTTACTTTAGGAGAAGGGGCTTGGAAGCTCAGTTTTGTTGCTTTGGTTGGGATTTTCAAGATCGGAAACATTTTTATGCTGTATATATTTTGGGGATTTTTTTTCAAAAGTAAAATATTTCTTCTCAAAAGTAGATTCTGTGCTTCAGAATTTAATTACCACAAGGAGTCAGAAAATCAACACTACAATCCAGCTTCCCAAACAGAAGACTATATTTCCCATTATCTCAATCTTTATCACTGTACGTACCCTGACCCTAGACTCTAGTGTAGAACAAGTAGTTAAGGGAAGAGAGATTAAAATGGTTACTCATGCTGATGATACTCAAATGCAAACATCAGTCTGGCTTAATTATGCTAAAAAAGAGGAGACAAATATTTGAGTGCCTGCTAAATATCAAGAATGTCTTGGTATTTTCACATATAAGGAATTCTCTCAACAAGAGGGGAGATATTTGTCTAAACTTGGATCAATACTTTCAAGAGAAATGAAGGTATCTCAGGCACTTCTCATTCAGGAAGCGAAGAGAAATGAAACCAAGGGAAGGTGGAGAATATAGGACAACTGTACAGTTGCTTTAAAAAAAAAAAAAAAGATGGGATTCTCATTATATTGCCCAGGATGGTGTTGAACTCCTGGCCCCAAGTGATCTAGATAATTCTTTGTTTTGTTTTTATAAGGGAGGGTCTTTTCTAACAGTGGGCTCTTTGATTCCTGTGAGACAGCAGCATTTTGTGTTTCTCTGTTTGCTTCATTGGATGCATTACAATTAAACCTGTGCCTGACTAAGGAAACTAAGTATGCACTAATGATGGGAGACGAAACAACAGGGCTTTTTATTTTTTTTTAATGGTAACTCCTATCCACTACCCATGTTTTATATAGTCCCCATGTTTGTTTGTATTTTTTTGTACAGAGAGGGTCTTGCTATGTTGCCCAGGTTGGTCTCGAACTCCTGACCTCAAGTGATCCTCCTGCTTTGGCCTCCCAAAGTGCTGGGATTACAGGCGTGAGCCACTGTGCCTGGCTGAGTCCCCACGTTTTATCCCATGTTTTCTAACAAAAAGAAGAAAGAAACAATGACTGCTTGACAATGACGGCTAATTCCTCCTTTCTTCCCCATCTGGATGTGTTCACAACTTTCTATCATCCAAATCTAGACAAACTAAAAATAAAAACCTACACTTTGTGACCAAAGTCTTCCTTGATTAGCTGTTAACTGCTTTTCATTTGGACTCAGGAAGGCTAAAGACTAGGCCATAGGAGGAGTGACTAACTTATTCTTTAGTCAAACAGCACTGATGCAGTTGTCAGCAATGCCCCTGTGACTGAGGAAAGTATTGTTTTACAAAGTTTTTAATATTTTATGGCATAATAACAGTGAATCATATTAGAATTCTGGTGTAGGCTGGGCACAGTCACTCACGCCTGTAATCCCAGCACTTTGGAAGGCCTAAGTGGGTGGATCACCTGAGGTCAGGAGTTCGAGACCAGCCTGGCCAACCTGGTGAAACCCCGTCTCTACTAAAAATACAAAATTATCCAGGTGTGGTGGCGCATGCCTGTAATCCCAGCTACTCGGGAGGCTGAGGCAGGAGAATCGCTTGAACCTCAGAGGTGGAGGTTGTAGTGAGCCAAGATCATACCATTGCACTCCAGCCTCAGCAACAAGAGCAAAATTCCATCTCAAAAGATTCTGGTGTATTATTATTATGACCTGATATCATTCTAATATTAAGCTCTGTATTATTGCAGGTAAAAATAAAACGAGTTTTTGCCAAGTAAAATTTATACTTAATTCTGTATCACAAGAGTCTAATTTTTAGTGTTAAAATGAAGTTTTCTCTGAAAATATGTTTACCTTATACTTGATATGCTATCTAACAGAGAAAAATAGTTCTTTGGAAACACTCATCAAACAAAAACCTATAGCCTGTGCAAAATAACATCAAATGTACTGCTGAGAGATCAGTTTTGCATCAAAATGGTCCCTGACCATCACATTATAAAGCAATAGCAATAAACACAGAACATTTCATAATTCTTATCTAGGTTGGGCAGGAATAGGAGGGAAGGTCTAGAAAAATCAGATACTCAAATTTCAGCACATAATTATTCAAATAAAATTTTAATGATTTCAGTTCCTGAAAATGTAGTGTCATTAAAGGTCATTTCCTGCTAAATTTCAAATTACAGATTTGTGGGCCATTCCTGAGCAGAAGCATCATTTCTACTAAATATTCAGCTTGTTAACTAAGGTAACTGACAGTATCATGGCAGGAGGTGAGAAGGAGCAATGATCAGCTCATAGCTAAGAAAAGGGAAAAAAACAATAACCAAAGCAAAAAACAAAATAGCTACAGATATTAGTAAAATAATAATACAATCCCAAACATCCACCTCTTAAATTACTACAAAAACAATACCAATAAAGTTATAGCAAATACAGTCTTCACAGATTTGAGTAACTTTATTTGCATTTTATAGTGATTTCTTAAGGCCTATATCCAATGAAACCATTTTAAAAGCTCTATGAGGAGTGGAATTTTAGATGTCTATTACACTTGTCTTTTAAAAGAAAAATGCTTAAATTTCAGAATGAGCAAGATTCACTTTTGTAGGTAGAGGCCCTGCTTCTTCATGATCTTCAGTTTTAGATCTAACAACCACAAGAGAAGAAGCTGGATATCTGTTTAGCTTTTGTTCATTCATAAACTCCAAGTCACCATAGATACTCAGCTTCTGCAAAAGAAAACCAATGTACATTAGTAGTCTGGATAATTAGGAACCTCTCCAAGTTAGTCTTTAAATAACAATTTAATTTATAAATAGTTGGTAAAAAAAATTCTATAAACAACTTTAAGAAAGAAGAATACTTTTTCTCAAAGTGTTGTAGATATGTGATTCAGCTCCCAATGGATGGCCAAAGAAAGCTGTTCCACGTCTCAAGTTAAAATCCTCAGGAGTATAACAATTGGGTATCAAGAAAAACAGCTATGGATGCCTTAAGTGATCAAGTCCTTCAACATCTTAGCTCTCCTACCAAGTGGTAAAATAATTTGGTGCAAGTTTTTCTGCTCCTAAATGTTTTAGCTTAACATGTATGGAAAATGATAGATGCTATTTGAAAAGGCTGCGAGAACAAAGAATATGCATGAAATGCTCTCACACTGATAGAAGGGTCTTCATAAATATATAAAGTTCCTTAATTGTTAATACCATATACAAGAAGACACTAAAAGAATGAAAGCATAAAACAGAATCACTGCAAATGTCATAAAACTCATTGGAGAATAATAGTAATATCTAGCATCTTTTGAGAGTAGGTAGACTTAGATATATGTATGAATGTCTCTGTCTCTTTTTTTTTTTTTTTTAAAGAGACGGGGTCTTGTTCTGTTACCCAGGCTGGAGTGCAGTGGTGTGATCATAGCTCACTACTAGGCCTTGAACTCCTGGGCTCAAGTGATTCTCCTGCCTCAGCCTCCTGAGTAGCTAGGACTATAGGCATGCACCACCATGCCCAGCTAATTTTTCTTTTTTCTTTCTTTCTTTTTTTTTTCTTTCTTTTTTTTTTTTAAATGATGGGGTCTTGCTATGTTGCCTAGGCTGGTCTCAGACTCCTGGCCTCAAGTGATCCTCCTACCTTGGCCTCCCAAAGTGTTGGGATACATGTGTGAGCCACTAGGCCTGTCCGTATGTATCTCTTAAAGGCAGAAAAGCAAAGTGAAAAGTCTCCACTAAGAAACGGCATAGGCTGGGTGCGGTGGCTCATGCCTGTAATCCCAGCATTTTGGGAGGCTGAGGCGGGCGGATCACTTCAGGTCAGGAGCTCGAGACCAGCCTGGCTAACATGGTGAAACCCGGTCTCCACTAAAAATACAAAAAATTAGCCAGGCATGGTGGTACATGCCTGTAATTCCAGCTACTCAGGAGGTTGAGGCACAAGAATCACTTGAGCCCGGGAGGCAGAGATTGCAGTGGGGTGAGATCGCGACACTGCCCTCCAGCCTGGGGGACAGAGTGAGACTCTGTCTCACAAAAAAAAAAAAAAAAAAAAATGGTATAGATTCTGTTGTTAATCTACTCATACGGCAACAAATCCCTGTATCCAAAAGTTAGAAACTGAAGTGCTGATATCACTGGCAGGACAACTGACTAGATTATAAAGCAAGAACTCCACAGAAGTACCCGATACTGGAAAGGTGTTTTTAAAAGATGCTGAATAAAGAGCACCTTCAAGAGTTTATCAAAAGTGATACATGCTATCCTGGCTGGGCGTGGTGGCTCAAGCCTGTAATCCCAGCACTTTGGGAGGCTGAGGAAGGTGGATCACCTGAGGTCAGGCGTTCCAGACCAGTCTGGCCAACATGGTGAAACCCCATCTCTACTAAAAATACAAAAATTAGCTGGGTGTGGTGGTGCATGCCTGTAGTCCCAGCTACTAGGGAGGCCGAGGTAGGAGAATCGCTTGAACCCGAGAGGCAGAGGTTTGCAGTGAGCCGAGATCGCACCACTGCACTCTAGCCTGGGCGATAGAGCAAGACTCCATCTCAAAAAAAAAAAAAAAAAAAAAAGTGATAAAGTGATACATGCTATAACATGATGAACCTTGAAAATATGCTTAGTCAAAGAGGCCAGTCACAAGAGACTACATATTGGCTATCTAGGGCTGGAGGGTGAGATGGGGGTAGGGGTGGTGCAGCTGCTGCTGCTTGGGAGAAAATGGGGAGCAATTACTAAGAGTATAGATTTTCTTTCTGGGCTGATGAAAATGTTCTAAAAGTGATTGTCACGATAGTTGCTTACTCACACATGTTTCAGATGTGTTCTACTGGACGGTTGCCTCAGGGGAACAACTATCCTGCAAGGAGGTGCCCCAGTACCTTAAGCTTTTCCAGTATGAGAGTAGCTTTAAGACAAGTTCAGGCCAGGCGCAGTGGCTCACACCTGTAATCCCAGCACTTTGGGAGGCTAAGGCAGGCGAATCACTTGAGGTCAGGAGTTCGAGACCAACCTGGCCAACATGGTGAAACCCCATCTCTACTAAAAATACAAAAATAAGCTGGGTGTGGTGGTGTGCGCTTGTAGTCCCAGCCACTCGGCAGGCTGAGACACAAGAATCGCTTGAACCCGGGAGGTGGAGATTGCAGTGAGCTGAGATCGTGCCATTGCACTCCAGCCTCAGCGACAGTGCGAGACCCTGTCTAAAAAAAGAAAAAAGAAAGTTCAGTGGTTGATGGGTTGGACGTGGATCTGATGGATCTGATATAGCAGGCCTCCATAAAACTCAGAATTCACATGTGACCGTTGGCTCTGGGGCACTGTGAAAGAAAAATGTTCACAACTCTACCTAACAATATTTAAAGATCTTGAAGCAGCAACCAGGAACTGTTTGATTTTATACATCAACATGAAAGAAGCCACTGAAGGGAGGTAGGAGACTGAGGAGATGTTGGTTAAAGGACACAACATTTCAGTTAGATGGGAAGAATATGAAGATACATGAAAATACTTTGTAAATTTTAACGACTATATAAATGTTAGTTATCAACATTATCCTGTCCCAGTTTCCAGGTACCTACATCAATTATATCACCTTAATAAAAATATTAAGTGTAATATTATCTTAATCATTTTTCATGTGCAAATCATATATTTAAACATCTTTATAGTCTATTAGGATAAGACAGTTGTTCAGGCACCATGTTAGGCACATGCCAATGGCTTATTATTAGATTCTAATTTCTGTCTTTTCTCTTTTTCTATGGTACTTTGGAGGCATAAGAAAACTAAAGTTTATTTCAGTTGGATTAGATGTTGACAGCCATTATTATTCTATATTTAGTTATATAAATACTTTTCTGTTCTTGAAAGCTAAGTTGAATAATTAAATTATAGCCTTTCCCCCAAACAAAAATCCTTTACCTTAACAGTTATATTTTTTGGGCCAGTTAAATTTTAATTACCAAGGAAGTCACAATGTCTCCCATCTCTTTTGGGGTTAGATACCAGAATATAACAACTCAAAATCAAACACTCCAGCATTTTTTTTTCTTTTCTTTTGAGACTCAGGGTCTTGTTCTGTCACCAGGCTGGAGTACAGTGGCACAATCCTGGCTCACTGCAGCCTCAACCTCCTGGGCTCAAGTGATCCTCCCACCTCAGCCTCCTAAGTAGCTGGGATCACGGGCACGCACCACCATACCCAGATAATTTTTATAATTTTTCATAGAGACAGGATCTCATCATGTTGCCCAGGCTGGTCTCAAATTCTTGAGCTCAAGTGATCCTCCTGCCTAGGCTTCCCAAAGTGCTGGGATTAGAGAGGCATGAGCACCACACCTGGCCCAGCCTTGCTGCTTCTAAAGCAGCACTGATCCTTAATATTGTGGTAATTAATTTAAACTATTAAGTGGTTCTACAAGTCTTCTCTCTGGCTGGGTATGGTGGCTCACGCCTGTAATCCCAACACTTTGGGAGGCAGAGGTGGGCAGGTCACTTGAGATCAGGAGTTCAGGACCAGACTGGTCAATATGGTGAAACTCCATTTCTACTGAATATACAAAAATTAGCTGGACATGGTGGCGCATGCTTGTAGTCCCAGCTACTCGGGAGGCTGAGGAAGAATCACTTGAACCTAGGAAGCAGAGGTTGCAGTGAGCCAAGATCCTGGCCACTGCACTCTAGCCTGGGTGACAGATGAGACTCTGCCTCAAAAAAAAAAAAAGTCTTCTTTCCCATATATCCCCTAGAAACTGATGTCAACAGGTCTTTTCAGTCTTAGAGAGTCAGAAAGAGACACCGTTCTCAAGCCAGTCAACATATATGTCACCACGGTAGTTAGCATCACAGAAAGCTGAGAACAACAATTCTTGTGCTGCAAACCTGTAATTTTTATGTGTGCCAACCTCTACCACATTAAAACCACCACATCTTCTCTCTTTCTATTAGTAGAAAGGCCTTGTTTTTCCAGCTAAACAAATAAGGTGTTTAAAATGATATATCACAGGGCTCAGTCTTCAAATGGTAAGAATTAAATTTACCTCAGAGGGAACATACTGCTCCACAGCTGTAGCAACAGTTGCACAACAAATCCAAAGCAATACCATCACCGAGAGGACAAGAGTTGTAGTTAAAATCCACCCAGAGTTACTGGAAAAAAAAAATCAACAATTAGTTATATTAAAATTTTATAAGAAACAGGAAATTCTTAATTAGTCAACCTTATGTACTTAGCTCAACAGTACAATTAAAACTTTGTTGGTTATCTTTGAAACTATTAAAAAACATACTTACAGAAGGAAATATTATACTAATAGCTATTACATTAGGTTGGCATAAAGTCTTTTTCCTCCACTTCTAATGTTTCTGTAACATGGCTATATCACTTTTGTAATAATAATAAAATCAGATATACTTGACTTTCTGCTAAATATATAAGGCAAGTGAAAGTGTCCTGTAAATTGTACACTGTTGTACAAATGTCATATATTATTTTGCAAGTTATTACGATACTTGCTTTAAGAAAACCAATATACCAAAAAGTTAAGGTATAGAATAGGTAAATTTAAAATGATCATTTGTTTTATAAAAGAATTCACACCAGGCTTCCAGAAGTCAGTTTCCCTAGAATACTTTACATATTCAATTTGCCATAATTTACTTATACTTCAATTTAAAAAAGCACAGCTATTATAAGGCATTCTGTAACCATTACAGCATATCTCAGTAAAGAGATAGTTATATTTTCCTTATAATTAAAATATCTTAAGACAGAAGGCCAGTTATGAGAATCAGCAATTAGAGATTTTTTATTTATTTTTATTTATTTTGAATTTTTATAGAGACAAGCTCTCACTATATTGCCCAGGCTGGCCTTGAACTCATGGGCGCAAGCCATTCTCCCACCTGGAGTTTTTTTCATAATTGACCTATTAAGATTCAAAGAATAGGAAAAAGTCAAGCCATTTTTAAATAATTAAAAGTCTAACTCTGACAAACTGTGTAATACAGATACTCCCTAATTTTCACATCTCTGCTCATCCAACACTGCCTAGTAAGAGATCTATACTTACCACCCTAATCACTCACTTGATAGTTTGCCAAGACTTGAACATGCAGTAAGCACAGTCATTGTTTGTCTGCCAGCAAAAGAGGTGGACTTTGGAGAATGTATTGTATCTAAAAGCAGGGAACTCCCATATGATTCTTTAAGTATCCAATTTAGAAAGATAATAGAGTAAAATATGTTTTTAATGAACAAATACCCACTTTCCTCTCCATGTTCCAGCCCTAAGTAACCTGAGTACTAAGGAATTTACCACAAAATGAGGATATATTTGATATCTAGATTCCAGTAGCAACTACCTAAGCCAGAAAACTGGGGCTCATCCCTTCAATCTCCACAACAAAACAATGACTAGATCCTACAGATTTTCAACTATCTCCATTATCTCCTGTTCTTATCTACTGCCCTAATCCAGACCTCATAATTTCTTCCCTGATTTACCAAAGTTCTCCAACCTGGTCCTCTAATCTATCCTTCACATAGAAGCCTCTTCTTGACACTTATGTTCCTGATTCTCTCTATTCCTGTTTTCCCAGTTCAGTCAAATTTCTGACTCTCCTTATCCTCCATATATAGTAATGTACCCTATACACATTGAGCAGGAGGCCAGTATATCTGAAAAAAAAATTTTAAGTAAATCTTCTGCTATAACTAGCAAAAATTTCTACTCATCACTTGAGATATTTCTATCTCACCTGTCAATCCTCCCCTTGAAACCTCCAGTAGACTTAAATACAGTCCTTATATGCTGTGTATGAGACATGTGTAGGACTGTGTGTGTGTATAGCAATCATTATTGTCCATGTCTGTTTAGATCTGAGAACTCCTGACATCTTTACTAGGTCTCAACTCCCTAGCACAGTGCCTGGCTCCTCAAAAAGAAATGCAAGTGAAGAAAGAGTGACCTCAATTTCCATTCTGGAGACAAGGGTGTCTCTTTAACAGCTACGACCAGATTCCAATAACTGGCTGAGTGATTCTGTATGTAATCATGGAAAAATCATGACACTTTAGGAAGTAAATAGTTACAGCAGAATAGGATGAGCAGAAGATGTACAGTTAGAAAAATTAGGTTTGAATGCTAACATAGTGACTGTATAACCTTGCGAGTAGTCAATTCACCTCTCTAAATCACCACCTACTTATCACAGGGTATTGTTCTAAAAGTCAAATGGGATCACTGAAGGGGAAAAAGCATTTAAAAAAAGAACACTTAAAAAAATAATAAAATTTGAGACAGTCTCGCTTTGTCACTCAGGCAGTGCAATGGCACGATCACAGCTCACTGCAGTCTCAACCTCCTGGGTTCAAGTGATTCTCCCACCTCAGCCTCTTGACAACTGGGACTACAGGTGTGTGCCACCATGTCCAGCTAATTTTTTTATTTTTTGTAGAGATGGATGGGGTCTCACTATGTTACCCAAGCTGATCTTGAACTTCTGGGCTCAAGTGATCCTCCCACCTTGGCCTTCCAAAGTGCTGGGATTACATGCATGAGCCACCGCACTCGGCCAAAAGAATAATTTTTATTCAAATGTAGGATCCTATTATAATTTATGTTTGGGCACAGAAACTTCTAAGAAATACATTTCTATAAATACATTATAAAGTTAGTTGCTTCACAAAATTACTTTTAAAGTGTTAGATGTAAAAAAACAACATAACATATAATGACAAAATGTTAAAGGTCAATAAATCACCAATAATATGCCAGGTAGTACAGTACTGAGAACTGTAACTTAAGATTAAATAATTATTTAGGTTTCACAGAACTATCAAACTGCAACATACATCCTAAATACTGGAAAGAAAAACTGCCCTTTTTTGGACAAGCTCAAAACCAGGTTTAGAAATGAACGAAGGATAAAATTTAAAGTTTAATCCTTGTTTTCTCACATAGTCTTTAAACATTTTGCTTAGTAAAAAGTATTAATTTGTAAGGTCCACATAATTGTAATGATATATGATAAAACCTCTCAAGAAACTGTTTCTATAAGAAATTACAGGGAGCATGTGATTTGGACTACTGCAGTTTTATACTTGAGATAGAACAGTCCACTAGAATGAACACACTATAAAGCAGAAACTTGTTTACCACTCACTGAAATGCTTGACCTGGTATCTGACACCGAGTAGGTGATAGTCAATAAGTGGTATGGCCCACTATCTTTCTCTTTTTCCTTTTTTTGTTGGGGGTGGGGAGGAGTAAAATGTGGGGGAGGGACCATATCTGAACTCCTTGGAGAAGAGGAAACATGCACACTTTCATAAAACCTGCCTCTCACCCTCATAAGGCTTGATATTTTTTCCTAGGAGGGCATATGGTACCCCTACTCTCACTTGCCCACTTTACCATTACCCTTAAAAACTCTTGGCATAGAGCTGATATTCCTTAGTATAGAATACAAAGCCCTTCTTAATCTAGAGTCTTTATCCAGCTCTTCTAGCGTCAAATCTGGCCATGCAGATAAAAACAAAAACAAAAATCTGATCCCTAAACCATTCAAACATACTTATTTTATTTATTTTATTTTTTGAGACAGAGTCTCACTCTGTTACCTAGGCTGGAGTGCTGTGGCGTGATCTCAGCTCACTGCAACCTCTGCCTTCCAGGTTCAAACGATTCTCCTGCCTCATCCTCCTAAGTAGCTGGGATTACAGGCATGCACCACCACGCCCGGCTAATTTTTGTATTTTCAGTAGAGATGGGGTGTCGCCATGTTGGCCAGGCTGGTCTCGAACTCCTGACCTCAGGCGATCCACCCGCCTTGGCCTCCTAAAGTGCTGGGATTACAGGCATGAGCCACTGTGCCCGGCCTCAGACATATGTTAAATTAAAGCTTAATTTAAATGTGTGGAGAAGCACATTCAACATAAATCAAGAGATTCTAACAAGAAAAATGCTCTTGTACTGTGAAAAAAACTACCTGCCTGGGTTTTATTCAAGTAGTATGCCTACAACCTTTTAAACAAACTAAAATATCTAATGTACAACTTTGGAAAGGAACAAGTAAAAAGGTTTACTTTTGAGGTGCTAATTTTAAAATAATAAAAAGTAATATATCTCTCTGATACAAGCCAGATTTTATCTGTTATACACATAATAAAGAGGAATACATACAGAGAGAGGCATCTTAAAAAGCCATCACTTTCTCCATCTTCAAGAAAATTCCTGTGCGCTTGTGAATTTCTCATTTGCAGATCTGCTGAAATAGTAAGTATGAGTTTATTATATCCTATATTCCAAAAGCTAGTCTCACATGACTACTTCTAGATATATACACTTTACAGATATCCAATTGTTTTTGTTTGTGTCATCTGATACATTTTATAATGTGTACCAGTTTCTCTAGCACATCAAAACCAAATGAATATTCTATCACATTATGAGTTTCCTGTTTTATTTTCAAATTCTTATTGACATTGATGCTTTCTGCTTAATTACATGTGAGCTTGGATTTGGTTTATTCTAATCTAATTAAAGTTAAAGATGGTCTTATGTTATGTGCTATCATTATCTACCCACTCCCACCCACCAAAATAATTAGAAGGCTAATTAAATCAGTATCTAAAATAAGGTATGAGGAAATTTCACAAGGTGAGTTCTGCTTTAGCTTGATGTTTTATGTTCTTATAAGTCAAAATTCACTTCTAACATGGAAATAAAAATAGAATGGGGACTCTCACTTTTGGCATTTTTCATTATTTGATCAATTTATTGGGAAATACCAGAATATTTGATTAGTTCATGCTCAAAACATCCTTTGAAGCAAACTAAATGTTTTTAGAATAGTGATTTTCAAAGTGTGGCCCCCAGGCCAGCAGCATCAGCAAAATCTGGAACTTGTGAGAAATACAAATTCTCAGATCTTCTCCCAGACCTAGTAAATTAGAAACTCTGGAGGTAGGGCCCAGCAATCTGTGTTTGAACAAGCTCTCCAAACTGTAATACACATGAAAGTTTGAGAACCACTGTTTTAGAAATTATCTGTTTATGTTCCATCAGTGTAAAAACAAACATGACCAACTCTACTACAACCAGATTTGACTGCTAATGTTTTTATCTAAGCTACTTAAAATAAAACTTACAGGACATTTTGCTTAGAGATGATTCTCTCAAATTTGTAGGCTCCTGCTCCAAATGTGGTGCGTACTGGATTTCTGGCTTAGACTAAAATAATAATGAAAGCAATTAAGTCATTTGTACTTCTTTAGCTTTTTTCAGTAACAAGTTCTAAAACAAATCATCTCTTTAAACATTTAAATTGAGAAAAAGTAGCAGAAATACTGTATAAAAAATAAAACACATTAACCACAATATATTTTAATTGCACTTCCTAAACATCAGAGCCAGTGCCTTGCAAAGAAACAGATTTCTGGCAGATTTATGTTAGTTTAACTTCCTGACAACGTTTTGTTTTGTTTTTTTTTTTTTTTAAAGGGAGAGAGGGACAAATCATGACATACTACATTAAATACTATACCTTGCAGAAATGAGTTCTAATTCTAGTTGATCAGGAATAATTTATCAGACTGCCAAAACTTTTGGCTAAATACACATTATCTCTATTTATTCTCATATGAAACATTATATTCTTCCCTAAGTATGAGGAATCCATAAATTACAGCCAAACACTCCATACTTTTTACATCTTGTGTATAGTTCTGATCCTCTAGAATGGGGGTTTCTGCATCCCAGTTATGCTCAAATTCACACAGACTTTAGAGAGACACAGAGCTAATCTCCTATCTAATGAGGAATGAATGAGGGCTTCACTCTGAGAGTCAACTTATGCCTTGAGGTAAGTAGCTTTAGGACCTAGAACTTGTTCATGAATTTAAAGAGAAAATTCCTGTGTTTTACTTATTACCAAATTAAGTAGAGGGGACCCAAGGTTCAGGGGAGTGCTAAAAATCACATACCAGCCATACATTAAGCCACTTACTTAGCTACAGTACTTAAAAGGTTTACTTTATTACCTGAGAGGAAGACAGTGCCACAACATAAACTCTGTTGACTGGTAAATTTGAGGAATTCAACTACTGAATTAAAAGCATGGTAGGGTAGTATATGGGCCTTGGTGCTAAAGTGCCCTGGGTTTGAAGCTTAATTCTGTTACTTATTGGCCGTGAAACTGCAACAAGTTACTCTCACCTTCCTCATAATAAAACAGGAATAATACAACCTCATAAAGTTGTTTGAAGATGTGAGAGAATATATCTAGCACAATATAACCTCCAGGGAATAACAGTTATTATCATGTGGTAAACGATGAGATAGGAGACATTACTTCTCTAGGCAAAATACTTCTTCAACAAGTTCTCTTATTAGAGTCATGAGTAAAAGCACTGTAAAAAACTAAAAATTATGTCATATTGCTTTTATCTGATATCCATATGTAATCATATATGGCCACTATTTATGTTCGAAGTATATTAATTATTGTCTCTCATATTTAAAAATTTCATTTTATCAATTTAACCACCATAAAATTTAAAAGACTCAAGAGTTCTGGTTACATAAAAACTAATGGGCTTTAGATTAGGCTTCTAACGGGCAAAGGGAAGGGTAATAAAACTGATGTCTAATATTTTAATGTAGGGCCAAATAAGTAATTATTATTTGATGATAAATATTTGTAAGTGACTGAGTATGGTTCTATGCTGAAACACTCATTTAAGACATATACATTTACTGTTGTTAGTATTTAGATGAATCCATGAAGCTCAGTTGTCACCTGGAATATAACTATTTTTCCGTCATCGGCTTGAAGATAAAAAGTCCATGAAGAGGTTATGAAGCTCTGTGCGGAGTCCATCATGTCACTCCAGAATGACCTCACCAGAGTTAGAGGAAAGAGTAGGTGCATTTTTGGCATCAGGGACATAAGCTAAAAATAAAATAAATAATGAGAAATATATTATTTTTATATATGTATATTCAAAAGAACAATATAATCAAGATTACTCCAATCCTTATTGGGACAGGATACAAACAATTAAATACATCTACCATAATCAATAGCATTAGAGTAAACTCTTAGTTATCTATGCACATTATGGTAAAGCTTAAAAACCAAGGATACTTTAATTTGCCACCAAACACACTTACTAGCTACCTGTCACCTCTATCAGAATAACAGGCTTTTGAATTAAGTCCAAAAATAAGAAGACTCTTAAGATGTAATTAAATAAGGACCAGCAAGGCCTTAAGGGTAGAACGGGAAGGGACAAATCGTATCATTCTCATCTTTAATGCTTTCATCAAGAATAAATCATGCTATAATGAACATCAATGGAAAAGAGAACGGAAAAAATCAATCAGAAGAATATATACATAAAATGGTAGACATCTGACAACACGACAGGGTGAAGGGAGTATTTATGGGCTGAATATATGTAGTAAGCTACTGATAAGATTTTAATGGCCCAGCGTGGTGGCTCACACCGGTAATCCCAGCACTTTGGGAGGCTGAGGCGGGTGGATCACGAGGTCAAGAGATGGAGACCATCCTGGGCAACATGGTGAAACCCGATCTCTACTAAAAATACACAAAAATTAGCTAGGCGTGGTGGCGCACGCCTGTAGTCCCAGCTACTCAGGAGGCTGAGGCAGGAGAATCCCTTAAGCCAGGGAGGCAGAGGTTGCCGTGAGCCAAGATCATGCCACTGCACTCCAGCCTGGCGACAGAGCGAGACTCCATCACAAAAAAAAAAAAAAAAAAAGGATTTTGACAAATGATATCATCTTTCCTCCAATTCTGATTTCTTGACTTCTTTAGCAGCACTGGGCCTCTCTAAAGCACAAGTGTGGGATGCCATTTACTAAACTCTAGGGATAGCTTTGGTTCTGCTTTGTTTCTTTTTTCATCTGTTTTTTTTTTTTTTTTTTGAGACAGTGTCTCGCTCTGTCACCCAGGCTGGAGTGCAGTGGTATCTATGGTAGCACTTGGGCCCAGAAGCTTGAGGCCAGCCTGGGTAATATAGTGAGATCCTCATCTCTAAAAAACATAAAAATAAAAAATGCATATACCTCTTAACTCAGCAATTCTAGCCCTATGATTTTATTCTACAGGTATACTCACAAATGTGCAAAATAGGTATCATTTACAAAAGAAAAAGATTAGGAACAACCTACATGTTCACAAATAAGGGACTGCCTAAAAAATTATAATATATCTACACAGAATATTATGTAGTAGAAAAAAATTAGTAGAAGCTCTTTATGTATACTTATATTTACAAAATATATGTGTACATCCTTGTATACGCATAACATATCTATGCATTAGTAACCTTGGCTACATTCAAGAGGGAAAACTGAGTGGCTAAGAGACAGGAGTGGGAGACTTTTCACTATATGTATACTCTTTTTATCTTTTGAGTTTGTACATGTGACTATTTCCTGTGCAAAAATCAATAAAATTAAGAAACTTTTCCCAGTATGTCTGGAGAATAGAGTATGAAATTCCCTTGTCAGGAATTTTAAGAGATGGCATTGGAGCAGTAATCAGGAGTAGGTTGTGATAAACAGTTTGGACTTAAATCTATATGTAATTGGGAGCTACTGATTATATAAGACAGGAGAATGGCATGATGAAATTTAGAAAAAAAAATCTGGACACAGCAAAGGATGGAGTTAGACAGGGTTAAATTAGAAAAACAGTTTGGAAGTTAATTTAAAAATACAGACAAGAAATGATTATCTGAGTTAAGGCAATGGCAACTGTCCAATGGGAGTTGGGATGGAGAAAAAGAACTCTGAAATAATTCCTCTGAGCCTTGGTTTTTTCATATGTAAAATGAGGATAATATCTTCACTGGAATGTGAGAAGAAACAAAATAAGATTATGAACGTAAGCATAACTTTTAATAGTAAAGCATTATACAAAAGCAATTATTCAACTGACTTTTCTATTTGCAAACTAATTTTGTTTGCTGAAAGCCAAATATAAAATATAACACTAAAATAGGATCAAGTGGGTGATAAACACTTCAAGCAATACAAGTCAGTGCCATCTAAGCAGGCTAGTTTGAAAGGCAGTATTGTTTCGTACTTGTTCTTGTCTCAGTTCAGCGAATGGCAGCTGATTCTGGCAACCAAGATGGCAAGCATATTGCTCATCAGATTGGGAATATGCTTCTGTACATGCTGTAAGAGAAAAATAGTCAAATTACAAGAAACAAAAGAGAAAGGGAAAGAGGAAAGAAAAGGATTTGGCATTTTATTAAAAAAATTTTTATACTTAAAAAGGTTTCATCAATGTGAATTTCCAAATTTGGTAATATAGTAGTAGGAAATGTATCTTTAACAGAACTCCATATTGTCTCCCTCCTACAAGTCAAATGTTTTAGATACAAATCTATTAATTATACACCCAGGCTCTGGCCACATGATGACATTCATATAAGAGGATCCTTGTGTGGTGGAAAATGCACTGGATTGGCATCCTGAAGATGCCACTCAAAAAGGTTTAGTTCCATCATTTGTTGGTGTGTGTGACCTGAGCTGAGCAGTTTAACCTCTGACTATTGATTTCTATATGTGTAAAATAGAAATACCACAACCTATTGTATAGGGTTGAATGAAATAATATATTTTAATGATTTATACAAATATAAGGTATTATTGTTAAGAACCAGATCACTCAGTTAAGAAGTAAGGGTATGCACATGGCAAAAGAAAAATAAAACAATCAGCCTAACATCTGAAAGTCTAAGAAAATTGAACTAGAAAATGTTCTACAGCAGATAATTCTAATGTTGAAATGGGTCTCTACCAGATATACTCTCATTTAGTTCATTAAATCCATTTCCTTCTTGTGATATAACATTTTACCACTATCCTAATTTTATTTTTTCCCAACTCAGTAATGCATTTGTAATACACTTCTCAGAAGTGCTAGATAATAAACTGGACAGCATTATGCATATATAAAGATGATCAGTTAGGAGACTAAGCCGCAAAAATACGGTTATGATATCAAAGAAGACTGTATGTGAGCCATGGCATAGTGATAGGGGAAAAGGTGCCTCCTTCTACACTAATAAACAGTGTAACGAGTGGAGAATATTCCATTATAGTTATTTAAAAAGTTAAACGTCAATTGTGTCCTGATTATAGGTTTCTTTTGTTAAACATATTGCTTTCAGCAAAAAGAAAGAAAAGTGGTTTAACAGATGACAAAGCCTCTGGCTACTTATTTTAATGGCCTGACCAATGAATAATATGCTATTAAATACTGAGTCAAAGGCCTGATTCAGTAAAAAACTTGGAGATAAGTCGATGAACTTATGATTGAAAGGTTTAGGAAAATTATACTATCTGTGAAAAGGTAGTAATGAATTGTGAGTAGGGTAATTATACTGCATTTGTCTGACAGAATGCTTGGTTAAACAAAGGTGTCCTATTCATAGCAGAAAATAAACACTGTCTCAACAAACAGATGAAATTTAAAGCCCATGAAATTTCTAGCAGCAGCTACGAAAACTCTTAGATCCATAATAATTACAATATGTTAGATGACTAGTTTCAACAGTGTGTTTTCCATTTCCTAAAGAAAATACTTCAAAAGCTTATCACAAAGAAAACAATGTTACATACAGCTGATGTCGTTAGCATAGCATCTTACCAGATTCACATTCCAATTTAGTTCGATTTAAGTCAATTCCATCATCCACAAACTGACAAATTGAAAACAGCCTGCAACCTCTCTGACATGCGTACAACTCCTCTTCCTAGGGAGTTCAAGAACAGGAAGGGTTACCAAAAAATAGTATTTTTTTTTCCTCAGGGGAAAACAGGTTAGGAAGAAAGCAGTTAGTAAAGTTTATTACAAATCGTCCAGTAAGTTTCATAACTGAAAGAAAAAAATGATAGGAGCCAGTTGATACTCAAGACCTTTGCCATATAGAGGTTTTAGTTCCTTATTTTAAAAGTGATACGAAGAAAAAAGCCTAGTAGGTAAAACCACCACCCTTTTTCCATTTTCTTTGGTTACAATCTGTGGGGGGGAAAAATTAAAAATAAAACTAATAGTGACAGGCCAGGTGCAGTGGCTCACACCTGTAATCCCAGGGCTTTGGGAAGCTGAGGTGGGAGGACTGCTTGAGGCCAACAGTTTGAGGCCAGCCTGGACTATATAGCGAGACCCCATCTGTACCAAAACAAACACACACACAAAAATAACTGGGTATGGTAGTGCACACTTGTTGTCCTAGTACTCAGTAGGCTGAGGTGTGAGGATTGTTTGAGCCCAGGAGTTTGAGGGTACAGTGAGCTATAATCACACCACTGTACTCCAGCTTGGGGTACAAAGTGAGACCCTGTTGCTTAAAAAACAACAACAACAAAAAACACAACGGTGATATAACTAGAACTTTAACAGCGATAGGAGTAAGCAAGTACCCTAGGACCAATGGCATACTTCTGCCACATCCCTGTTTATATGAATCACCAGGCTTATCAGGAAAAGTATCAGACTAGCTTCACATGGCAAATGGTGACACAAGGGCCTGATAAAGTAAGGTATACATCTATAAAAATGTTTATATGAAGGGATTTTTTAAAACTGGGCTTACATTAAATGAAAACACAGGAGCAACAGTGTGGTGTATGGGAAAGGACACTGCAATCAGCCAGACCTAGATCAAACCTTTTGGGTGAGTGCATAAGTTATTTTACCTGTCTAAGAATCTCAGCTTTCTCATCAAAAAAGGAGAGAACAGCCATTATCTCCAAATTCCTCAATAATTTGGAAGCTATTTCCAGTATAGTGCCTGGGATGTAGAAGGTGCTTAATAAATGGTAATAGTGTTAATAGATTTTTAAAATAGAAAACAATTACAGGCATCAATGTATACGTGTGAAAGCTTAAGACAGGATGGACATCTGGTTCTTCATTACTGTAAAATATTAACTGCTTAATAAGACTAATGTCTTCAGCTGTTTTTCTTTGATAAAATAAAAGTATTTAAAAAAAGCTATTGCATATGGGGGAGCCCCCTCGACTTACTATGTGATCCACTGTGTACAAACTGGCAGACACCTAATAAGGAAACAGCATGTGCATATACCAGTTAGCAACCAATGAAATACAAGCTATGTATTTCTTTCCAGCAAAAGGATTAGTAAAATTTACGCAGCAGCAACAATCCATCAAGAAGAGATGCCTGCAGTCTAATATTAAATATACTTTATCATACAACTTTGAAGGTAGCACACTTTTGGACCTCAGTTCCAACTGCATTTACTGTTAAGATGAAATTGAAAGAATTTTAACAATTGAGATAGATTTCATATCTGAGTAGCTGTTGCAGGCTTTGTAAAACAGTTAAAGAATTATTTTATGTCTCTGGAGCACCACATATTTCCTTATATTGCACAAAGGAAGCATAAGCTCATTAGTATGAGCTATACCACATGCCATTTCATTCTCAGATATGCTTTCCTTTAATAAGTCATCCAGTACCAATTTCGGAAAACCATATGGCATGGTGAAAAGAGCCGAGGTTTCAGGAATCGGCCCTGGTTTGAAGCTCAGACTTGCCACTTATTCTGCACAACCTTTGACAAGTTACTTAATCTAATTCCTCAGTTGTAAAATAAGGACAATACTCTTACATCAATCCTAACTACTATTCATTTATTTTCTACTGCCTGTATAATTGCAGAGTGTCAATCTTCACTATTAGGAGAATTATATATTTATATCTACAATAGCATTACTACTATGTAGTACTATCTAATAGACAGACATATTTAATGAGCATCCACAATGTGCCAGGCACTGTATTAAGACTTAACAAATTATGAAACATCTGGTATGGAGCAGGCACTCAACTGGTAGCTATCAAGAATCATATCTTTATTCTAAGTATTTCATGTTATATATACAAAAATAATGATTTCAAGTAAATATTTCATGCCCTATGTATCCCAAATGACTGGCAAGTTTATATAACATGTATCTCCTCTGATTTAGGACACAATAAATAGTGCTTCCACCATATGAAATACCAGCTAAATTCATAATTAGAAGGTCCCTCAATGGTACTATTTAGGCCAGGCACCGTGGCTCATGCATGTAATCCCGACACTTTGGGAGGTCAAGACATAAGGACCCATTCAGCCCAGGAGTTTGAGACCAGCCTAGGCAACACAGCAAGACCCTGTTTCAATTATTTTAAATTAAAAAATAAATAAATAGAAGTTAAGTGATCAGCAAGGACAAACAGTAATCAAGGAGCTGGGAATAAAACCAGGTCTGTATGGTTCTAGAGACCACACTCCATTAAAAAATGACCAGGCTGGCTCTAATTAGCTTTTTTATTAACATGATTTATGTCTCTTGTTTTTTCGACCGAGATAAATTATGCAATTGCACTTCTGTAGATAAAACATAGAATAATTTAAAAATAACTATTTACAAACAGGTATTCTACTTTCTTGCAACAAATAATTAGTTCTCAAAAAGTGTCTGAGATTTCTTTTTTTTTTTTCTTTTTTTGAGATGCAGTCTTGCTCTGTCCCCCAGGCTGGAGTGCAGTGGCACAATCTTGGCTCACTGCAACCTCCACCGCCCGGGTTCCAGCGGTTCTCCTGACTCAGCCTCCTGAGTAGCTGGGATCACAAGCGTGCGCCATGTTCGGCTAATTTTTGTATTTTTAGTAGAGATGGGGTTTCACCATGTTGGTCAGGCTGATCTTGAACTCCTGACCACCCAGGATCCACTCGCCTCGGCCTCCCAAACTGCTGGAATTACAGGCGTGAGCCACCGCGCCCAGCCTAAAACGAGATTTCTATCTCGTTTTTCAAACGCTATGTGAGTTTGAAAATTCATCTAATTTCTTACAATACACAGTGCTTTTTCCTGGAGCACAAAGCACAGAGGAGAGCCAATAGAAATCAGTGACATAATTAAATATGTTTCTTTTTTTTTTTTTTGATGCAGAGTTTCCCTCTTGTCGCCCAGGCTGGAGTGCGGTGGCGCGGGCTCACTGCAACCTCTGTCTCCCGGGTTCAGGCGCTTCTCCTGCCTCAGCCTCCTGAGTAGCTGGGATTACAGGCGCCCGCCACCACGACTGGCTAAATTTTTTTGTATTTTTAGTAGAGACAGGGTTTCACCATGTTGGCCAGGCTGGTCTTGAACTCCTGACCTGAGGTGATCCACCCGCCTCAGCTTCCCAAAGTGCTGGGATTACAGGAGTGAGCCACCGCGCCCGGCATTTTTTTATTTTTATTTTTTTGAGACACGGTCTCATTCTCAGACTGGCGTGCACTGGCGACATTTCGGCTCACTGCGACCTGCGCCTCCCAGGCTCAAGCAAGCCTCCCACCGAGTAGCTGGGACTACAGGTGCTCGTCTCCATGCCTGGCTAGTTTTTTTGTTTTTCTTTTTTCCAGAGACGGGGTCTTGCCATGTTGTCCAGGCTGGTCTCAATCTCCTGAGCTGAGGTGATCCACCCACCTCGGCCTCCCAAAGTGCTGGGATTACAAGCGTGAGCCATCGCACCCGGCCGAATATGTTTAATGCAAGTTTATTAATAGGAGGCAGCATAGTGTAGCCAGTTTTAAGCTGAATTCCTGCTCCACTATTTCTTGGGTATGTGACCTTAGGCAAGTCACTTAACCTTTCAGAGCCTCAATTTCCTTAATTTTAAAACCCTACTTTACAGGGTTGTTGTGAGAATTAGGGATAATGGTATGATAAATCTCCCATCACTCTGGCTAACAGTGGAGTCTATATAAATTTCAAGTCCAGGACCTATAGGGAGCCAGATGATTTGGAGTTCTTTGTGAGAAAAGCTTTAATAAATAAGTAAAAATAGTTTATAGATATAACACCAATTGTTAGAAAATAGTGGACATTATTAAAGTACCTACAACTTCCAGGAAGGTATCCTTTCAAATTATTTGATTATTTTCCCAACATTCTGGTTTATACCACAAAATTGCCGAGAAAATCCCAAAAAAGGAAACAAACCCTAGAACAATAGAAAGTAAGTCTCAACCCAATTCCAGGCCAAATCAATATTAATGAGCTTCTTCATACAATCCTCTTAATGATGAGAAGTTTACAAGAGGTGGAGAAAAATAACGTGGTTAGAAGCAGTATTCATTGATTTAAGTCTGAAGTTAAAACTTCTCACTTCTTTCTCGATTGTTACATAAATCTCTGGAAAAATTTAGTACAGTCCCTTCTCCCACACTTTTTTTTGAAAATTGATAATCTCCATGCAGTTTAAAATCCAGCCGTAACAAAATCTGAGAAGTGCCGGCACTTAGAACTTTTCATTTCAAAGACCTGAAAATACTCGCCAATATGGAACATCCTAAGCTTCACTGGAACTGTCTCCGTAGCCACTCCAGTTTTAGAGAGCAAGGAGGTCCAGCCACAATGGTTAAGCAAATAGCATAGAGGAGATGAAGGAAAAACGAAGAGGAAACCACCAGCAACATCAACAAAAGCTCTCATAAAACAACGTGGGGGAGGGCATATACTCAAATCATACATGGGAAAGGTGTGGTGGGAATCATCAAGCAATTTAGAATGTTGAGTAAACAGAGTTCTTAGGCTGAAAAACCAACGTGAAGAGGGTTAGGTATGTAATTAAAAGAAAGGGGGGAAGCATAGAGAGGAGGGCCATTCCTCTCTGTAAGCTGCGAACCCCCTCCTGTCCACAGTCTCATTTCTTCACCCACTCCACGAATTCCCCGTTTTCTGCACTGAGTGGTCAGTTTCTGGTAGGCAGACACCTAATTGCCTCTTCTCTAACCCAGTCCCTCTTGGCAGCGTCTTGGACACAGTAACTCAACATAGGCAGACAGCATTCCTGAGCGTCTCGCTACTCCCTGAGCTGCCTTCGTGACGCTTTTTATACCACAGTGGAATCGTCTACTTGTCTGACTCCCCGAAGACTGCGCTCCTGGCCCCGAGAGGCGCTTAGTAAACAAGGGTTATCAATCAATCATTTGTGGACTCGCGTATCTGCGCCTCCCTTTCTACAATCCCCCCTTACGCTCCCTTAGGTGAGGACCCCGCATTAATCATCCATATCCTCCCCTATCCTCCTCCGAGTGCTCGACTCCCCTGCAGCCCGGCAAGCTCCCAGAGGAAAGGGATCGCGTCTTTCTCATCTTTGTGTCCCCCAGCCTATCACAGGGTAGTGCAGGACAAACTTCCGGTAATGACAGCAGAAATGGGGTGCAGGCAGGATTAGGGAGGAAAACAGGAGCTACACAGATGGGAGACAGCGATTGAAGGGCCGATTTAACAGCCAGGTTGCCAGAGCCGACATACGTGTGGGGAGCCGAGAAATGGGCTGCAAGGGAAGGGTCGCAGCCCGCTCCGGACGGGCCCTACCTTAGGGTAGGTGTGCAAGGGGTAGGTCAACTGACAGGCCCGGTGGCAAGACGCCGTATCACCCAAGACCGAGTCAAATGCTTCAGCCGAAGCGGTCCCCGAACCTCCGGCCAAGGCCATGGTCAGCAGCAGCAGCGGCGGGAGCCCCAGTTGGGTCCTCACCCAGAGGCTCCCCTTCGGCGCCGCCATCTTGTTCCCCTCTGTCACAGCAGCTCAGCTTGTTGCTGTTTTCTCGGAAGGGTTTCCTCCTCCTCCTGGGGCCAGCCCCCTTCTCCGCCCCACCGACCGTTGCTTCCGCCTCCGCTGTCACTTCAGCTCCGCCCTCACCCGCCAGAAACTGCCGCCTCCTGCCTCACCTCTGGGACTACGAACTTCTTCTCCTAGGCTGGCGTGAGGAGGGGAATTCAACCATCGCAAGCGTTAGCGCGAAGCGGGGCCTCCTGACTTCTTCCCTTCGCGGGGCAGGCTGGGGCATGTAGTTCTCCGTAGGCGGGAGGCGCACGGTGCTGTCGGGAAAGTTGGTCTCGGAAAACTACAGCCGCCCTCAGCGCGCCTTCCGCCCGCATTTCTTCGCAGTGCATTCTGGGGAATGTGGTTCGCTGTGGCCCAGAGGCGCGAGGGCCGGCGGAGTTTCTTCAGAGGAACTACCGCCCTGGGAGGAAGCGTCTGTTTAGTTTCAACACAGACGACTGGGCTTGGGAGCCTACGAGGTTGCAGTCTGGAGGGCGCCAACAGCAGCTACCAGGGCTGCTTTTCCTGGTGGGTCTCACGTCAGACCGTTGTTGGGTGCCCCTACCCGGGCTCCTGAGTGCTGGGAACGAGGAGGATGGGGTTTCTCCTTGTTCGGGGATCCAGAGATTACAGCCGTGGGTAGGGTCCTCTGACCACCGAGCAGTTTGTTCTAGGGGATGCTGCGTATTGTGAGACCCTCTGCTGAGTTCTGGAGGTGGTTGTCGGTTGCTGATTACCAGGGCAACCCTTGGGATTATGGCTGTGGTGAGGTGGTTGTTAAGAGGGCGTCACTGAGCCTAATGTAATCCTAACCCTTTCACAGCCCAATCTTATTTGGAAGAGGGCTTAGGTGCACGCTCTAGCGGGGATTCCAATATTGGGCCAATTCCCCCAATGTTGGAATCCTCGCTAGAGCGTGCACTTCTGGAAGCTAGGAACCTCCTAACTCAGGACGTAGACTGATGATTGATTACAGTTTCAATTCTTCGGAAGATCTTTCTTTTAAAGAGAAAATCTTACTTCCTGTCAATTCCACTCGAGGCCCCATAATTCATGAATTCTTCCAGAGAACTCAATTGTGTTACTTTGGGGAAAAAATATCATGGCAGTCTTTAGTGGGGTTTTAGAATCTGCCCTCTTTCTTGACCAGAACACGCTGCAAGCACGTCAAGGTAGTCGGAGTCCCCTAACAATGGATAAATTCGTCATTCGAACGCCTAGAATCCAGAATAGCCCTCAGAAGAAAGATTCTGGAGGAAAGGTTTACAAGCAGGCCACGATTGAATCTCTGAAGGTGAGAGGGGATCTGGGGCTAGAGGAAATGTGCAAAGGACTGATAGCAAGGTGGTGCTAGAGGTTCTGTTGTGGAAAGACCTATGAATTATTTCTTGTTATGCCTCCTCCTCAAAGTGTACCTGACCACTCCTCCTTTGTTTCGCCCATAGCTGTACAGACTTACATTTATAAATTTCTGCACACCCCTGCTACACCCTTGTAATTACTCCGGTTTACACCATGTGTGCTAGCTCGTAGGACAAGTCCCCTTCGTTGTTATTCTTTTGCAAAATGTAGTCTGTTAGGAATGTTAAAGTACCAAATATGATTCTATATACCTACCCTGTACAAACTTATTAAGGGGTGGGCTTTGATGCTGTTCTCTCACATCTGTCACACTGCCCAGAACTGTATCAAACAGCTTTACAGCTTCAGCTGAGACTGGGAAAGAGGCTGTTTTTTTGTTGTCGTTGTTGTTGTTTTTGTTTTTCAGACAGGGTCTCACTCTGTCACCCAGACTGCAGTACAGTGGCACGATCTTGACTCACTGCAACCTCCACCTCCCGGCTTCATATGATCCTCCTGCCTCAGCCTCCCAAGTAGCTGGGATTACAGATGCCTGGCTATTTTTTGTTTTTAGTAGAGATGGGGTTTCACCATGTTGGCCAGGCTGGTCTTGAACTCCTGACCTCAAAATGATCCACCCGCCTCTTGTCTCCCAAAGTGCTGAGATTACAGGCATGAGCCACTGTGCCCAGCTGGAAAGAGGCTGTTTTAATGAGCTCTTGCTACATTGAAGTCAGTCTGATGTCTGCAAGCAAGATGCAAAGAGTAGATACAATGTATCAATCAACATAGTTACCCAATAAATGCTAAAGTAATTATTTTACTAAAACAAAACAAAACAACTTGTACTTAGTCCCCTTTGTCATCCTGAACCTTGCCTCTTAAATTTCTGACTTTTTCATTTTCTTTTACCAATTCTTCTTCCTCCACTAGGTTCCTAATGTTTGTTCTCCTCAGAGTTCTGTCACATTTTATGTATTTGGCCAGGATGACATTATCCATTCTTTAGGCTTTCTGTGCTAAAACTGCCAAACCTGCACCTCCAGCCTAGGTTTCAGAAGGTGGGAGGAGGATCTGGGGCTAGAGAAAATGTGCAAAGGATTGTAAGAGCAAGGCAGCATTCTGAGTACTTGACATATACTCAATTGGACTCCTTTTCTGGATGTCCCACAGGCTTAGGAGACCCATATTGGAAAGCAGTGAAGGAGAGTATAAACAGGCCTTACTGGTAACTGGGTGATCTTTAGTAGCAAGTCAGTCCCTTCTCTAAGACCTCAGTTTCCTCATCTATAAAACGTGGAGATTGAACTATATCAGTGTTTCTTCAAGGGGTGCTATTGTTGTATGGGGCAAGATAATTCTTCATTATTTGGAGCTGCTGGTGGTTTACAGGATACTTAGCATCCCTGGCTCTCAGGCACTTAATGCCAATGGCACCTCCCATTCTGATAACTGAAAATGCCTTCTCATTTTTCCAGACAGCACTTGATTGAGCCCTACCAAACTCTAGATGATCTTTAAAGTCTGTCCTAGTCTTGCAGTTCTGTGACTGCATAGAACACATTCAAGGTTTTCAACTGTCTCTACCTTGTCAGAATATTCATGGATAATTGTACATAGCAATGATTCTCAATGAGGGATCATGTCAGACTCTCTCCAGGAAAAAGGTGGGAAGGAATAGTTGAACTACATATACACTCACCTACACCTACAAACACCCATATTCTTTTCTTTTCTTTTCTTTTCTTTTTTTTTGAGACGGAGTTTTGCACTGTCGCCCCGGCTGGAGGGCAATGGTGGGATCTTGGCTCACTGCAACCTCTGCCTCCCTGCAACCTCTGCCTCCCTGGTTCATGCGAGTCTCCTGCCTCAGCCTCCCGAGTGGTGGGGATTACAGGTGCCCGCCACCACGCCTGGCTAATTTTTTGTATTTTTAGTAGAGATGGGGTTTCACTATGTTGGCCAGGCTGGTCTCGAACTCCTGACCTCATGATCTGCCCACCTCGGCCTCCCAAAGTGCTGGGATTACAGGCGTGAGCCACGGCACCTGGCCCAAACACCCATATTCTAATATACCTCCTCCTACCGCTCTCCCCTCTGGGTTCCTGCTCGTGCCCTAGTTGAAAATCACTATGTGTGATGATGAAAATAAATGATGTGAAAATTATGGAATAAGAATAAAACAACAGGCTGGACTCAGTGGCTCATGCCTGTAATCCTAGCACATTGGGAGGCCAAGGCAGATGGATCACCTGAGCCCAGGAGTCCGAGATCAGCCTGGGCAGCTTGGCAAAACCCCATCTCTACAAAAAATACAAAAGTTAGCTGGGTATGGTGGGGAGCGCCTGTAGTCACAGCTACTTGGGAGGCTGAGCTGGGAGGATTGCTTGAACCTGGGAGCTGGAGGTTGCAGTGAGCCAGGATGGTACCACTGCACTGCAACCTGGGTGACAAAGTGAGACACCATTTAAAAAAAAAAAAAGAATAAAACAAAAGGCATATTTAATAACATTCCCCTTAAATGCATTAGCTTTTCTTCCAAACCTCTTCCTTGTTCTCCTGTATTAATGTATATCCGTATACCAAGTAACTGGGACTAGAAATCTAGGAACCATCCTTAACTCTTTTTTCTCATATCCAATTTTCTTTTTTCTTTGTTTTTTTTTTTTTTTTAGGGTCTCGCTCTGTCACCCAGGCTGGAATGCAGTGATGTGATCATGGGACTATGATCACATCATAGCTGGGACTATAGGCACATGCCACCACACCTGGCTAATTTTTTTTTTTTTTTTTTTTTTTTGTAGAGACAGGATTTCATCATGTTGTCCAGTCTGGTCTTGAACTTCTGGGCTCAAGCTATCTGCCCTCCTTGGCCTCCTGAAGTGCTGGGATTACAGGCATGAGCCACTACGCCTGGCCCCAATTTTTAGTTTTACTTCCTAAAAATCCTTCTTGCCCATACTCACTTGATTGTCTTCCACTTTAAGTTCAGAATCATACTTCTCATCTAGAGCAGTGCTATGGTCTGTTGACTTGTCTCCCTGCCTTTGACATCCCGCATTCACCTCCCTTCCACTCTTACACCAGAGAAATATGTCTCAAATAGAAAAGAAAATCTACTCAGGTCACTTTCCTGCCTAATCCTTCAATAATTTCTCATTACCCATCAATAAAGATCACAGTTTTTTACATGACACCCAAGGCCTTCCATGACCTGGCGCCTGCCTGCCTCATCCCCTGCTAGTCTTTTTATTTATGCCTCATCCAATGTCAACCATTCACAATTCCCCAAAGATGTTGTGCTCTTTCCTTCCTCTGTGCCTTTGCATATACTGTCCTGTTTGCCTGGAATTCCCTTACTATCTTGTCTTGGAGGCAATATAATGCAATAATTAAGAACATAGACTCTGGAGCCAGACTGCCTTACTAAAATCCCAGCTCTGCTACTTACTACCTTCGTGACCTTGGTCAAGTTATTTAGCCTCTCTGTGTCCATCTTAATCTATAAAATGGGGATTAATAATACCTGTTTTATAAGGTATTATGAAATTTGAGTGAGTCAACATATGTAAAGTGTTTGGTACAGAGTCTGGCCAATACTAAGTACTTTGTAAGTCTTTGCTATTATTGTTATTATCATTACTTTATAAAATCCTATTCATCTCCCATGACCTAGTTCAAATCCTCTACTATTGGGCCCTTCCTGACCACCCTTTTGTCCCTGAGACGCAGAGCCAATCTAATCACTCCCTTCTCTGAGCCATCCCTGTATATTAAACATGTCTGTATCATTGCACTTATTTGTGCTGTATCATGGTTGTTTCTTTACATGCCTGTGCCCCGCTATACTCTGAGCTTCTTGAAAGACTATGTCTCATTGATTTTGTGTCACTGGTTCCTGGCACAGGACTTGGCCTATAGTAGGCTGCAGTACATTTTTCTGAATGACCAAATGAAGTAAAATAAAAGGCTTGGCATGGCACGTGAGACCTGTTCTACCCCAGTGCGCTTATCGTCTCATACCTTGTAGCCCCTGCTTTATATGTACGCATTCCAGCCACACCTTATTTCTTGCTGTTCTTTGTTTGTTTGCTTGTTTGTTTGACATGAAGTCTCACTCTGTTGCCCAAGCTGGAGTGCAGTGGCGAGATTTTGGCTCACTGCAACCTCCACCTCCTGGGTTGAAGCGATTCTCCTGCCTCAGCCTCCCAAGTAGCTAAGACTACAGGCACACGCCACCATGCCCAGCTAATTTTTGTATTTTTAGTAGAGACGGGGTTTCACTATTTTGGCCAGGCTGGTCTTGAACTCCTGACCTCGTGATCCTCCCGCCTCGGCCTCCCAAAGTGCTAGGATTACAGGCGTGAGCCACTGTGCCCAGCCTCTTGCTGTTCTTTGTATAAGCTCTTCCCTTCCATGCCTTCAGGGCTTCCTTGAACTTGATGCTTGTCCCTTTTCCTTGAAAGCCCTTCTGTTTCTTTTTACAGAGTCAATTTCTACCCATTTGTCAACCCACTCAAGAACTACTTTGCCTATAAATCTTAGATTATAAACTCCATGAGTACAGGACCTTGAGTTTTCTTTTTTTTTTTTTTTTTCAACTCAGAGTCTTGCTCTATCACCCAGGCTAGAGTGCAGTGGCATGATCTCAGCTTACTGCAGCCTCTGCCTCCTGAGTTCAAGCGATTCTCCTGCCTCAGCCTCCCAAGTAGCTGGGATTACAGGTGCCTGCCACCACACCGAACTAATTTTTGTATTTTTAGTAGAGATGGAGTTTCACCATTTGGCCACCCTGGCCTTGAACTCTTGACCTCAGGTGATCCACCTGCCTTGGCCTCCCAAAGTGCTGGGATTACAGGCGTAAGCCACCACACTCTGTCAGGATCTTGAGTATTTTATTTACTTCTCTGCCCTTGGACGTAGCACAGTGCCTGACACATATTAAGTGGTCAATAAATATTTGTCAAATAAATGAATGTTGAAATGCTTTCTGGGTTCTCTAAGGGAGTTAATCCTTCCCTCATTAGTACTCTCAACGTTTGGTTCAAATATCTGTGGAAGCATTTACTTTACTGTATTGTAATTGTCTGATTACCTGTAGCTTTCTCCAATCCACTATGAATTCCTGAGACCCGGGACTGTAATATCTTATTATGTTCTGATCTGCTCCAAAACCTAACACAGTGCCTGCTACACTGTAGGTAAAATGTATTGAATAAACAGTAATCATCTGTATTCTGGCATGCCGTTGTAGGGTTTTGATAGTAAAGTATTCTACAAATGTTGTGAAACAGCTTATGCCCAGCACAATGCTAAGTACTATAGAGAACATGAGAGAAACTTAAGATCAAAATACAAACCCTCATGAAACTTCCTGAAAAGTGATCAAATTATAAGAAGTTAATAAATAATGAAGCCAGGTGTGGTGGCTCATGCCTATAATCCCAGCACTTGGAAGGCCAAGACAGGAAGACCACTTGAGCCCAGGAGTTTGAGACCAAACTACATGGTGAGGCTACATGGTGAGGCCTCATCTTTACCAAAAAAAATTAGCAGCCAGGCGCAGTGGCTCACACCTGTAATCCCAGCACTTTGGGAGGCTGAGGCGGGTGGATCATGAGGTCAGGAGTTTGAGACCAGCCTGGCCAATATGGTGAAACCCTGTCTCTACTAAAAATAAAAAATTAGCTGGGCGTGGTCGCGCGCGCCTGTAGTCCCAGCTGCTTGGGAGGCTGAAGCAGAAGAATTGCTTGAACCTGGGAGGCGGAGGTTGCAGTGAGCTGAGATTGCGCCACTGCGCTCCAAGCTGGGCGACAGAGCGAGACTCCATCTCAAAAAAAAAAAAAAATTAGCCGGGCGTGGTGGCATGCGCCTATGGTCCTAGCCACTAGGGAGGCTGAGGTAGGAGGATTGCTTGAGCTCAGGAGGTTGAGGCTGTAGTGAGCTATGATCATACCACTGTACTCCAGCCTGGGCAACAGAGCAAGACCCTGTCTCAAAAATAAAATAAAATAATGAGGAAAAATTATATGTGATCCATTACAGAATTGTCATATAGACAATAAGGGCTAAGAGGTAAGAGAAGAGGCCTGGCGTGGTGGCTCACACCTGTAATCTCAGCATTTTGGGAGGCTGAGGTGGGCAGATCACCTGAGGTCAGGAGTTTGAGACCAGCCTGGCCAACATGGTGAAACCTCATCTCTACTAAAAATACAAAAATTAGCCGGGTGTGGTGGTGGGCGCCTGTAATCCTAGCTACTCGTGATTACAGGAGGCTGGGGAAGGAGAATCACTTGGACCCGGAAGGCAGAGGTTGCAGTGAGCCGAGATCATGCCACTGCACTCCAGCCTGGGTGACAGAGCGAGACTCTGTCTCAAACAAAAAAAAAAAGAGGTAAGAGAAGAGAGAGCTTAGTCCCTGTTTTAGTGCCCAAAGAAGGCTATGTGGCAGGGCACCATAAAGGGACAGGAGGATTTGACTAGGTCTGATATACTCTAGGGAAGTAGTGACATATAACCATTCAATGAGTGGTATGTGCTCTTCTGTTTCCTCTATGTATGCATGATGCTTGGTGTGTTCACAATGGCAAATTAAAAAGAAATTGAGTTAAATGTGAATGTTAGAATCAGCTAGGTCCACTTTCTGCCAAGTGACTTCCAAACATGAGCATTATGTTTTAATGCCAAGAACCTACTAAATGTTTAAGCCTCAGTTTCCTCATCAGTAACATCAGAAATAACAGTACCCCATCTGCATGATTATTATGAGAGTGAAATAAATAAATTCATATTGAAAGGGCTAACCATTGTGCCTGGTATGTAGTAAAAACCAATAGTTTCCTCTTTTCATGTATGGAAAAGGAGGGGCTTGTATAGTAAAACCAAAGCTGAGGAGGAGGAGGATGATAGTAGTAATAAGGATTACTACTAACATTTATTGAGTCCATTTTTATGGTCCAGGCATTGTGCTAACTAATGCTTTACATATATTAACTCTTTAAATCTTAATAATAGCTTTGTGATATGTATGCTTTTATCATTTATATTTTACAGATGAAAAACTAAGGCACAGAGAGATTAAGTAGCTTGCTTGAAGTCATGTAGCCATTAGTGGCAAAGTTGGGATTTGAACTAGATAATCTGGGTTCATAGTCTGTCCCCTATAGATAGGGTGAGCTGGAAAAAAAAAAAAGTGGAAGTTTCTGAATGCCAAACTGAAGAGGTATAAAAATCTTGGAATATTAGGACCATTGTACTTCTGTTATCAGTATATATTACAAGTAATTTTGCCATAGGTGTATCACATTCTATAAAAGTGATTCTCAATAGAGCTCATGTAATGTCCATTTAAGTGGTAAAGGTTAATTTGGTTAATCTCTTTTTACTCCCTTAAGAGGAAGTGATTTCTTCTGTTGGTTGCAATAAGAGAATTTTTTAAATTAAAAGGTCCTAGAGTATACTCATTCTTTTAGGTTCATCACTTCAGAAGGTTCTATGAACCTTTCCTGCCTTTGTAGGATCAACTAGCCAATATGTTGCCTCCTGCCCCCACCAGTGGAATGGTGCCCACGTAACTGCTTATGAGTGAATCATTTTCCCTAATTGGTTTTGTCAAACCTGACATTTCAGCAATCCACAACTGTAAAACCAGATGGTATATTGGAAAGCACATCTTCTTTCTGGCAATAACTATTCTACTCCTCATTGTAGTGTCCTTATTGATATTTTGTGTCCATTTCTCTTGTTCCTCCAAATAATTTGAGCAATCTATTTTCTGGCCCATAGTTAGAGATTGAGACATTTCTTGATATATATGGAATTCTTTTGCTCTTGAATAGACTGATGTTTTTCCTATTCCTGACCTAAAATTTCATATCTGAAAACTGTACTGTACTTAGTCCTTGAAGGTAGAAATAGTTTTGTTCAGTTACACCTACTGTGCACTGGGGATAGTGAGATAAATGAGAAATGGTTCCAGCCCTTAAGGGAAAGACAGCCTTGTCGATGGTAAGTATTTGCAGAAAGCATAGATGCAATAATAGGAGTCTATACAAGTTGCAGAGGGACGCAAAGTGGAGTATGGTAAAATGTGGTAAAGGAGAGGCAAGAAAGGCTTCATAGAAGACATGATGCTTGAAGAGAGTCTTAAAAAATGAATAAGTATTTATCAGGTAAATGAGGTAAAGAAAGAACATCCCAGGCAAAGGTATGAAATTCAAAAGGAAGCTGTAAATAGTTTGGCGTATCTGGAGCAAATGATGAGACTGAAAAGAATGTCAGGAGCCAAGTCATGGAAGGCCTTTTATGCCATGCTAAAGAGTTTGGACTTCTTTAGTTCCATATGTTGATATTATCTGATGTGGAACTCTTAACCTGATTCCAGCCATGCAGAAATGCTGGATTAAAAGTCTCCAATACAGAGCTGAGCTTGAAAGCAAGAAAGGGAAATCCTTAGGTGCCAGGAAGAGAGAGGAAAGCAAAATCAGAGCTGTAAATGGGAGCTGAAGCTAAATAGTTCCAGGGAACATTGAATCCAGATATAATGCTTAGGGGCTGGGATTTTAAGGCCAGTATGGATGGGAGATAAGACCTCGGGCTAATGTGATGTGGGGAGCTAGAATTGATCTCCTATGTGAAGCTGGAAGCCGAAACAGGACTACCATATGTTTGTGAGAAATGAGCTAGAAAAATTCCATCCACTGGTCCAGGGAAGCAGATTGTTACCTTCTCAGGGTCTTAGATGGAAAAAGAGTGGACAATAATAATAAATTAGAACCACACTCTTATTACCATGCATGAATATGTGTACAGTCATCTCTCAGTATCTGTAGGGGATTGGTTCCAGGACCCCCACTACAGGTGCCAAAATCCACTAATGCTCATGTCTGTTATATGGAGTGGTGTGCTATTTGCCTATACTCTATATAGATCTTCTTGTATAGTCTAAATCATTTCTAGATTACTATACAGGTTGAGCATCCTAATCTGAAATCAGAATGTCACAAAATCCAACACTTTTGAGTGCCAACATGGTACCCAAAGGAAATGCTCATGAGAACATTTTGGACTTTGAATTTTTGGATTAGGGATGCTCAACCAGTACGTATAATGCAAATATCGAAAAATCCCAAATCCCAAATCCCAAACATTTCTGGCCCCAACCGTTTTGGATAAGGGATACTCAATCTGTAATACCTAATACAATGTAAATGCTTTGTAAGTAGTTTTTATACTGTATTGTTAATGGAATAGTGACAAGGAAAAAAGTCTCTATGTGTTCAGTACAGATGCAGCCATCTATTTTTTTAAAAATACTTTTGACCTATGGTTGGTTGAATCCACAGATGTGAAACCTGCCAATCCAGAAGGCTAGCTGTAGTTAAATTCACTCTATTTTCAAAACTGAAAAAAATTAATATAAAAACTGGCCTAGAACTGAGAAAATTCAAATCTTGGCAAAGGCAAATGTGAGATTTCTCTATTAAGACACTTCATATTCTAGAATGCAGAGGACTTTCATAGAACAGAATCCCCTGTAAGGATAAACTAATGGTCAGAAATTACAAAGTCTATAAGAAAATAAATTAGCAAGGGAGAGAATGAACAGACAGATGTAAGTAATAGAATTTCTACTCCAAGAAGTAGAGATAAGAAAACAATCTCAAAGAGACCTTAAATATGTTTAAAATGTTTGTTATTGGTGGAGGGTGTCCAGGTTCTTGGCGTTTTGAACAAAGAATTGGACAGAATGCGTAAAGCAACAAATGGAGCAACGAAAGCATAGATTTACTGAAGTAAGTACACTCCATAGAGTGTGAGCTGGCTCAAGCAGCCTCAAGAGTGCAGGTTACAGAATTTTCTGGGGTTTGAATAGTTTGAATACCCTCTAGAGGCTTCCCGTTGGTTACTTGGCTTACACCCTAAGTAAATGAAGTAGTGGCCTGCAACCAGTATGATTGGTTGTGGAAGGTGACTAATCAGAGGCTGAAGTGAAGTTACAAAGTTACACCCTATGCAAATGTTTGATTGGTTCCAGGAGGCTGAAATGAAGTTACAAAATTACACCCCTGTGCAAATAAAGACTAGGCAAGCGACCGGTTTTGTTGGTTGTGCATTTTTCCTTTTTTTTTTTTTTTTTTTTTTTGGGGGACGGAGTCTCACTGTGTCACCTAGGCTGGAGTGCAGTGGTGCGATCTCGGCTCACTGCACCCTCCACCTCCCAGGTTCAAATGATTCTTGTGCCTCAGCCTCCCAAGTAGCTGGGATGACAGACATGTGCCACCATGCCCAGGTAATTTTTGTATTTTTAGTAGAGATGGGGTTTTGCCATGTCGGCCAGGCTGGTCTCGAACTCCTGACCTCAAGTGATCCGCCTGCTTTGGCCTCCCATAGTGCCGGGATTACAGGTGTGAGCCACTGTGCCCGGCTGGGGTTTTCCTTTTGATTTAGTTCTAGGAAGTCAGTGCGAATCAGCCTTAGGTTCCCTGCCTCCAGACCTCATGTTCACAGAGATAAAGGAATGGAAACCATAAGATAAGAACAGAATAGTATGAAAAGAGAACAGGTAAGTTTGGAGAAGAAGAAAAACAGAACTTGTCCAATGAAAAAATATCATTATTGAAGCAGAAACACATCAAACAGGTTAAACATAGGCAAGCCATAGCTAAAAAGAGAAATATTTAGGATTTCTAAAGAAGTAACTTAGTATGTATCATACAGAAATGAAGAGACAGAAATATGAAAGAGAAAAGTACATAAGGGATAGGCAGAGAAGCCATGGAATTGGGGTTTCTGAAGTAGAGGCTTGTGAGGAGAATACTGGTATCAATTTCTGTTAGTATACATCTTAAACATTGTAAGGGTAGGTTGAGCATGGTGGCTCACACCTGTAATCCCAGCACTTGGGGAGGCCAAGGCAGAAAGATCACTTGAGCCCAGGAGTTCAAGACCAGCCTGGGCAACATAGTGAGACCCCACATCTACAAAAAAAATTTAAAAATCAGCAGAGTGTGGTGGCCCACCTGTGGTCCCAGCTACTTGGGAGACTGAGGTGGGAGGACCACTTGAGCCCAGGAGATCGAGGCTGCAGTGTGATCTCACCACTGCACTCCAGCCTGGGCAACAGAGCATGACTCTGTCTCAAAAATATATATATATATAAGGGTAAACACTCAAATCATAGAAATATAATAAGTAACTTCCAAACCATAGAGGGAAAAAAAAGGGGCTGGGCACAGTGGCTCACACTTGTAATCCATGTGCTTTCAGAGGCTGAGGTGAGGGGATCAGTTGAGGCCAGGAGTTTGACTGGGCAACAGAGTGAGACCCCATGTCTACAAAAAATACAAAAATTAGCCAGGTGTGGTGATGCATGCCTGCAGTCCCAGCTACTCGGGAAGCTGAAGCAGAAGAATTGCTTGAACAGGTTGGGGGAGAGGGGGGCGGAGGTTGCAGTGAGCCGAGATTGTGCCATTGCACTCCAGCCTGGGCGACAGAACAAGACTTCTTCTCAGAAACAACAACAACAAAAATTAGCCAGGCGTGGTGGCATGCGCCTGTACTCCCAGCTACTCGGGAAGCTGGCAGGAGGATTGCTTGAGCCCTGGAGTTGAAGGCTACAGTGAGCTATGATTGTTACCACTGCACCCAGCCTGTGCAACAGAGTGAGACCCCATCTATAAAAAACAAAAAAAGGAAAAAGGAAAAAAATAGATTAAAGAAAACTGTTAAAAAGAAGATACGAAAGAAGAAAAAAAGAAGAGAAAATATGTTCAAATATATCAGTAATCATAATAAACACAAATGGATTAAACATGCCTATTAAAAGATAGAGATTCTCAGATTGGAATAGGAGGCAGGGAGCAAAATAAAGCAGCCACAGGCTATGTAAAGTGTAATGACCCAGAGAAGTTGAAAGTAAAGAGATGAAGACAATATACAAAAAACTGTCATAGACAGGAGTTCATTGAAACAATGTTTGTAACATGTAAAATATGGGGAAAGAAACTGCCTAATAGGGGAATAGTTTTAAAATTCTAAGACATTTGTGTATAAAAATAATGGAATACTATCCAATATTATTAAAACAGATCAACCAACCGGGATTATATGTTTCAGTTTGGATAAATCAATAAAATACATTGGTAAAAAAGGCATGATATTTGCACTTTCTTCCTATTCAAAATTTCCCTTTGGCTTTATTGATTTATTTTTCATACAGTTTAACACTAATATCATTTTATATTGTAACAGATCATAGAAAAAGACTGTCTCAGTTTTTACTAATACCCCTAAAGACCGAGAACAAAGCAGTAGGTATCAAGTGATATTTCCCAATGAGATTCTGGACCATCTATACAGAAGGCAATACCTGAAGACCAGTTTTGGGATCCTGAACCCATCACCCACCATAAGCCATAAAGTAGGTTGAAGTTAAAGGAAGAGGGGAGAGAGAATTCCTTTGGATGAAGCAAGAGTGCCACGATATTTTTTCACTTGGAGAACTTGACTTTAGTTCCTGGGGTTGGTGGACAGAGATCAGTCTCTGCCTAGGAAAGTCTAAAGACAGAGAGTGGCTGACTGATGTCAAAAGGAGAAGTGGGTATATTGGGAGGGCTGTTACCCGCCGAATTCTTTAGGACAAAGATGTGGGCAAGTGTGGGAGAAAATACTGGGTGGCCTGGAGTTGAATGAAAATTGATGGGTCCACAAAGATACTTGGAAGGACACTGGGATCCCTATAGGGAGAGCCTGTGGGAGGTGGGTTGCCAAAAACTGGGGAAGCGGGAGGACTTGTGGATGGCTGGCAGAAGGAGACAGTGCCCACAGTATGGGAACTCAACAGTGGGAGCTTTCCAAGGAACTGCAAAAGTAACCTATACGAGAAAAAGAAAGTCAGCTTTCAACATCTGCCAAGTCCAGGTAGTACTAAAACCTGATTAGCATAGTATCACTATGTTAAAGTAAGGCTTTTCCTTCCCCTTTCCTCTTTTCCTTTTCCTGGCTTTGAACCTGGAAGGGTCAGAAACCAAACCAAACAAGTGGATTGGAGAGGAAGAGAAGCAAAGTTGGAGTGAGAGGGAAATCAAACACCCTTCTCCCACCATAGGCTTCTAGGCTGGAAGCAGACACCAGCCAAGGGAGAGAGATAAGACTTTTTTGTTGTTGCTTTTATCAAACTATCATATAGAAAATGCATGTAGAAAACTGCACAAATTGTAAGTATATATGAGGAATTTTCACAATAAACACACCAGCATCCAGATCAAAAAACAGTATTACCAGAATCCCAGAATCCCCTTCAATTCCCGAACTGTGCCCACCTCCCTCAGATAATAACAATCCAAGATGAGATTTTTTTGTGTGTAGTTGTAAAAGCAAATTAAAAGTCTCCCACTTTACTTTTTAAAAAATTATTAGTGGAATAATTTCAATACTATAGAAAAGTTTGCAACACAGTGTGAAGAACTTTACCATCTCCTTTACCCAGATTCTTTAACTGTTAATTTTTTATACTTAATGGAAAGATGCATATCAACTTTAAGATGGTACATAGTTTCTTCTAGGAAGGGAAAGAGGGGAATGAGTTGATGCAGGGTACAAAGGTACTTAAACTTTATAATGTTTTATTATTTTATGTGAAATGGCAAAGTGTTCATTTTTTCCATTATAAATAGTGGGTTACTCTCTGTATCTTTCTATGTGTTTGAAGTTTTAAAAAATTATTTGAACAAGAGAGAGTTTTGAATTTTATCCTCTAGGAAGTGGGGAACTACTGAAGTGTGCTTTTGATTGTTGACATAAACATGTCTATGACTTCCCTGCTCGCTGTTCTTGCCTATGAATTAAGACACTCTTAAGTGAGCTATAGAGTTGATTCACCTCAGCATTGTTTTTCTCTTCTCATCCTTATTGCCTCTCACTGCTAAGTGCCCAGTGGTGTCTGAGATGGTAAAATTAAAACTTGTACTTTTCCTAATAGATGCACCTCTCTTCCTGATTTGCACTAAGCCGTACCTGCTTTTAAGCAATTACCCATCATTTGGGGCCATCAGATGCACTGTACTTTGGTTCAGGTCATAATCAATAATTCATATGTCAATAGGAGCCCCATTAGCTCAGGTGAAGGCAGATGTCTTTCTAATGAAAATGTTCCATTTTCCAAATGACTTTTCTTTTTCCCAGAGAGTTGTGGTTGTAGAAGACATAAAAAGATGGAAAACTATGCTGGAGCTTCCTGATCAAACCAAAGAGAATCTTGTTGAAGCCTTACAAGAATTAAAGAAGAAAATACCCTCCAGGGAAGTGTTAAAATCAACAAGGATAGGTATATTCCTTCTTAATTTTATTTTTTAAGAAAGCTTATATTTTGTCTCCCTTCTTCTTTCCTTCCTCTCTCCTTCAAACATGAAGTTATCTGCCTTATCAATGCTTTCAACTCTCTGGTAAAGGACTGTTGTTTAAAAAATTATCTGTTGGTTGCAGGCCAATACCTTGGTAATATATTAAAAAAATTATCAGAAAAATGAAATATACAAAATACAAGCCCCAGTTTTTAAAATTAGATTCAACAGATATAGGATTACTCTTGTCAAATTACTATGAAAGTTTCTAAATGCTTACATTTAATTTATGTACTTACTTCATGGACTGGAAACTGGCAATAACACATGGATAACATTTTGAGTGTGTTAGATGCTGGGTATGCAGAAATGGATAAGACATGATTTGTGACCTCAAGAAACTTAGGATTTGGGCTGGGTGTGGTGGCTCATGCCTGTAATCCCAACACTTGGGGAGGCCTAGGTGAGCAGATCACTTGAGGTCAGGAGTCCAAGACCAGCCAGGACAACATGGCAAAACCCCGTCTCTACTAAAAATACAAAAATTAGCCAGACATGGTGGTCCGTGCCTGTAATCTTAGCTACTAAGGAGGCTGAGGCATGAGAATTGCTTGAACCTGGGAGGCAGAGGTTGCAGTGAGCCAAGATCGTGCCACTGCACTCCAGCCTGGGCGACTCAGACTCTGTCTCAAAAAAAAAAAAAAAAAGAAACTTAGAGTTTGGTAGAGGAGACGAGCATATAGACAAATGGGAACAGTGAAATATTGTAGGTGTAAATAAAAACGTGTAAATAGTGTTCTGAGTACTATTCTAATCTAAACAAGGTATATACTGGGGACTTCAGAAAAGGCTTCATAGAAGAGGTGACATTTCAGTTACATCTTGATATTATAGCATTGGAGATATTTAAAAGGTAAGTCAGGGACCATGTTGAATTGCCATTTTAGTACAGTACACAACTGTGAATAATACGTAAGGGAGGGCCAACATGTGTTACTCAAGCTGCTCCCAGCTCCCCAGGGAGTCCAGGACAGTCATTCACAGCTGCTGTTCTTGCCCTCACTAGTGCAGCCATTGCCTTGGTCTGCCTCCCCTTGACCTCTTGTTCATGAGAAGCAGGAGAGAGAGCAGCTTCAGAACTGGCACTAACAGCTGGGAAGAGCTGTGCAAAATCCCCAGAGGGCCCCCCAAGAGTCTTAGAGTTGTACCCCTGTAATATAAACCAGAATCTGAGAAAATCAGATGCTTTAAGAATATAAGACCCTATCATTGTAGCCAAGGAGATTCTCCCATCTGCTGCTGGATTTTGTCTTTATAGGTTATAATCACTAGGGGGCAATAAGACCATTCATATGAGCAGATAAAGTATTTCCACCAGTAGAGGGTACTAGTGATTACTAGTTTATGACATGTATATGTGTACATATGTATATGTATATAGTTAAGCACATTCCACAAATACTATATATGATCATAACTTAAATATCAACATAATAGGCCGGATTTGAAGGTTTTAAGATTATAATTAAAAAAATAATTTCTATTTGGTGTTCGAGTGTAATTGTGAGTATGCTTTCAAGAATGGGTATTTCTGATGTTTGGAGATTTCAATTCAAGGATCATAATGAAACCACAACAGGGCTTGACTTAGGAGGAACTGGAAACCATCCAACTTTGAGTTTTGACTCTATCCCAAGCCTCCCCTAAACCTGAGGTTGTATGGAATATAGGAGTTTCTTGGTTTCTTTATAGTTACATCAGTTGCTATGCTGAAGATTTCATTTGGATCATTGCCTGAGAGTGTTTACATTTCTTCAACCTTTAGTCTTCCTGCCTTTTCCTATCCTGTGGGTTATAAGGGACAAATATTTACTGAGTACCTTTCCTGTGTTGGGAACTATATAGGCATAATAATGAAGGAGACAGATATTGTCCTGCCTTTTTGGAGCCTTAAGTCTAATAGAAACACAGTTTAACAAGACTTCATCATACAATGTGATGAGTGCTCTGATGATGGGGAGAAGTTAGCAAAATGACTATATGTGTTAGGAGTAGGGCAGAAGGTATTGAAGAATGTGTCAGGCCGGGGCACATCACGTGAGCTGTATAGAAGGTGGAGGTGGGAGAGAACATGGTGCATTCCAGAAACTAAAAGTAGTTTGGCGTGTTAGAAATGTAATGTGCTTGAGAGAGCGTGGCAAGAAATGAGGCTGGAGAGACATTCTGGACCAGATGGAGAAGGTTCTTTGTAAGCCATTCAGAACTGTTTGGTCTTGGCATATGTATTAGTTATCTATCACTGTGTAAAAATTACTCTAAAATTTAGCTGCTGAAGACAATATTTATTTTTTCACACAATTTTTTTAAGTTGAGAATCCAGGAGCAGCTTATCTGGGTGGTTCTAGCACAGGGTCTCTTATGAGGTTGCAGTCAAGCTGCTGGCTGGGGTTGCAGTCATCTGAAGGCTGGACCAGGGCTTAAGGATCTGCTTCCAAAATGGCTCACAGGATTGCTGGCAGGAGGCCTCAGTTTCTCATCATGTGGGCCTCTCCTTGGAGCTGCTCATGACATGGCAGCTGACTTTCCCCAGAACAAGTGATCCAGGAAAGAACAAGAAAACAAGAGAACAACCAAGATGGAAGCCACGGTCTTTTATAACCTAATCTCAGAAGTGATATATCATCAGTTTTGTCATATGCTATTGGTCACACAGACCAACGCCGATACAGTTTGGAAGGCAACATAAGGGTATGAATACCAGGAGGTGATAATCATTGAAGCCTAACTTGTAGACTGGCTACCATAGCCTGTATTTCTTTTTATTTATCTTAGATACATTATACTTCCTGGACCTGCAAATTCATGTTCCATTTTGAAAATTTACAGCAATTATCTTTTATTTTTATTTTTTTTTTTGAGACAGGGTCTTTCTGTGTCACCCAGGCTGAAGTGCAGTGGCACAATCACAGCTCACCGCAGCCTTGACCTCCCGGGCTCAAGTGATCCCCCCACCTCAGCCCCCCAAGTAGGTAGGACTGCGGGTATGCACCAACACATCCAGCTAATGTTTGTATTTTTTGTAGAGATAGGGTCTCGCTAAGTTGCCCAGGGTGGTCTCAAACTCCTGGGCTCAAGCAGTCTTCTCATCTCAGCTTCCCAAAGTGCTGGGATTACATGTGTGAGCCACTATGCCTGGCAACAACAATTATTTCTTCAAAAGTTACTCTCTTTCGTTATTTCTGTTGCCTCCTTCTGAGATTCTATAATTAGAAGCATATTAGGTCTTCTGTTCTTCATACCCTTTAGTTTATCTATTTTTTATCTCCTTGTCTGACTCAGCATTGTGTGGTAATGTCTTCAGATACGTATCTTCCAAGTCACTCATTCTCTCTTCAGCTGACTCTAATCTGCTATTTAGCCCATTTGTTCTTTATTTCAATAACTGTTTTTCATTTTTAAAAATTTGCTTTATCCCCCCCAAATTTTTTTTTTTTTCTTTTTGAGACAGAGTCTTGCTCTGTCGCCCAGGCTGGAGTGCAGTGGCGCGATCTCAGCTCACTACAACCTCTGCCTCCTGGGTTCCAGCAATTCTCCTGCCTCAGCCTCCCAAGTAGCTGGGACTACAGGCACGTGCCACCACACCCAGCTAATTTTTGTATTTTTAGTAGAGACGGGGTTTCACCATGTTGGTCAGGATGGTCTCGATCTCTTGACCTCGTGATCTGCCTGCCTCAGACTCCCAAAGTGCTGGGATTACAGGCGTGAGCCATCGGCCTTGGCCTCCCAAAGTGCTGGGATTACAGGTGTGAGCTACCGCACCCAGCCCCAAAATGTTTTTTATAAATTTTTTTTTGGTGCATTCTTGTGATTTTGCCTTTTATTTCTTAAACATTTAATATCTAGTTCTTCTGTATTCATCTGACTATTCTAATATTTATGGTTCTTGGGGATTTAAATCTGTTATTTATTGTTTCTGCTGACTGATGGTACTTGCCTTCCCATGTGCTTATTGATTTTTAATTGCAAACTCATTATTGTATTTCTATTTTTCTTTTAACTTTATTTTTTTTGAGACAGGGTCTCACTCTGACTCCCAAGCCGGAGTGCAGTGGCACAGTCACAGCTCACTGCAGCCTTGAACTCCTGGGTTCAAGGGATCCTCCTGCCTCAGCCTTCCGAGTAGCTGGGACTACAGGTAGATGCCACCATGCCTGGATCATTTGTTTAATGTTTTGTAGAGAAGGGGTCTCGCTGTGTTGCCCAGGATGGTCTTGAACTCCTGTACCCAAGTGATCCTCCTGCCTTGGCCTCCCAGAATGCTGGGATGAGAGGCATGAGCCACTGTGCCCAGCCTGTATTTCTATCTGTAGGAATTCTGTGGGGCTAAATTGAGAAGCTTCCCTCCAAAGGGGATTAACTTCTTTTGTTTCTGCCAATAATCAGAGGCCATCTCTGACCTGGAATACTTTAGCACACCTCTTAAGGATCTTACCTCAGTATGAGAGTCCCAGCTCCCCTCCTCGCTACTGGCCCACAGCTAAGTATTTCAGCAGCATTGCTATTGATATCAGCCCTTAGGATAACCCCACCCCTCCCTGAGTGCACCCTTCTAGCCTCTGCTAACTTTTTTGTTGGGGTTAGGTGGCTTTTATCCAGGATCTAGTAATACTGCAGTGAAAGAGTAGCTTTAGTCCGCCATAAAGCTTGAGAGTTTGCTCTTTATCTTAAAGATAGTAGGATTATTATTGAAGACTTTTGAATGGAGGAATGACATATTCAGTTTAGAAAAATCTGTCTGGTTGCCATGTGGGAAAAGTGTTGGACAAAAGCAAACCTAGAGGCTGGAAGCTCAGTTAGGAAGCTACTAAAACATCTGCATAAGAAATGAGAGTGGCCTGGATGGAGTATCAATCATGGGGATGAAGAAATTGTAGTTGGAATCAAGAGACATACATGTAATAAATCCAAAGGACTTGTAGATTGATTGGATGTTGGGAATGAAGATGAAGCAGTGAAGGCTGAGGGCTAGGTTTCTGATATGGGCAAGTAGGTGGATGGCAGTACCACTCATTAAGATAGGGAACAGCAGGTTTGGAGGTGGAGGGAATAATAAGTTCCATTTTAGACTTATTCTGTGGAACATCCCAAAAGAAATGTCCAACAGAATGCTAGAAATACAAGAGTGAAGCTAAGGAAAGATTGTAACTATATACTGGGGAGTCATTATCAGCATAGAGCTGGGAAATGGTGTGATAATAGTAGATAAGCTGCCGGGCGCAGTGGCTCAGGCCTGTAATCTCAGCACTTTGGGAGGCCGAGGCGGGTGGATCACGAGGTCAGGAGATCAACACCATCTTGGCTAACACAGTGAAACCCCCTCTCTACTAAAAATACAAACAATTAGCTGGGCATGGTGGCGGACGCCTGTAGTCCCAGCTACTCAGGAGGCTGAGGCAGGAGAATGGCGTGAACCCGGGGGGCAGAGCTTGCAGTGAGCCGAGATCATGCCCCTGCACTCCAGCCTGGGCAACAGACCGAGACTCCGTCTCAAAAAAAAAAAATATAGTAGATAAGCTTGCCTAGGATGAGTTTATAAGTTAAGAAGACCCAAGAGCTGAGTCTAAAATCCAGAAACACACCAGTATTTAAGGACTTATAGAAGAAACCGAGAAGGTACGACCAGAGAAGCAGAAAGAAAACAAAAGAATGCTGTCATGGAATGCAAAGGAAAGAATGTTTCTAGGAGGGGATTGGTTAGCTTTGTCCATTCTTGTCAAAGGGCCAAATAAGATACATCTAAAAATTGCACATTGGATTTTGCAAAATGAAGTCATTAATGATCTTACTTAGGACCGTTTCAAAAGTAAGGTTAGGGGCAGAAGCTTGAGGAGTGAAGAAGATGTATGAAAATGAAACAAAATAGACAACTCTTTCAAGAAGTTTGGTATTGAAAGAAAAGAGAGGTGACAATATCAGAAAGGGAATGTGGTATTGAAGAAAGTTCTGTTTTTTAAGATGGAAAAGGATCCTAACATGTTGAATGCTAATGGCAAAGATTCTGTAGAGTGAGAGAAGTTAGTGTAGGAGAATAATAACAGGGTGAGCCCCTTAAATTGTTAAGATTGATTACCAAGATGAGGATTAGCAAGAGCCTTGGATCATCATTTGATCTGTGTTTTATAGAATCTATATTCATTCATTCATTCAACACATACTGAGTACCTTCCTTGTCCTATGCCTTATGCTGGGTGCTACAGAATAATGCATGGTTCATGTTTGTAAGGCGCCCACATTCTCTGGAGAAATAGGCATTCAGGTGTATAATAATGATTGACGTGAAAATGCTAAAATCAAGGGATGTACAAAGGTCTGTGGGAATACAGGGGAGACGGTGAATACTTTTGCTTAGGCAAGTGGAGAAGGGTTTTTATAGAAGAGATGGGACTTTGCTAGGTCAAAATGAGATCTGGCTCCTTGCAGGCAGAGACATGAGTAAAGGAATGGAGGCTTGAAAATCCTGAAAACATGCTAGAATGTAATATGCATGGCTAGAATGGGCAAGGGTGGATAGTGATTGGGCCTGATTATAAAGAAACTTAAAAGCTAGCCATTAGGGTATGGACTTTTCCCAGATGCCATTGTTTTCAAGTGTGGATTTCTTAGAACTGTGGTCCAGTGAGATGTTATTTGAAGAAAGTGTCCTGGGTTCAAATAAAGCTTGGAAAATGCCACATTACTATTTCCTCTCCTTTAGAGGTTTTCAGTATACTTTGTCATTTAATAGGCTAGATGAAATCCTACAATAAAGAAGCCTGTTTGGCCAGGCACGGTGGCTCACACCTCTAATCCCAGCACTTTGGGAGGCGCAGGCAAGTGAATCACTTGAGGTCAGGAGTCTGGGACCAGCCTGGCCAACATGGTGAAACCTTGTCTTTACTAAAAATATAAAAATTAGCTGGGTGTGGTTGTGCGTGCCTGTAGTCCTAGCTACTCGGGAGGCTGAGGCAGGAGAACCCGGGAAGCTGAGGCAGGAGAACCCAGGAGGCAGAGGTTGCAATGAGCCAAGATCATGCCACCGCACTCCAGCTTGGGCAACAGAGCAAGAACTTGTCTCCAAAAAAAAAAAAAGAAGAAGAAGAAGAAACGTGTTTTATTTTATTTTATGAGTATTTTTTTGTTTGATTTTTAACTTTTATTTTAGGTTTAGGGGTACATGTGAAGGTTTGTTATATAGGTAAACTCCCTGTGTCATGAGGGCTTGTTGTACATATTATTTCGTTACCCAGGTATTAAACCTAGTACCCAATAGTTGTGTTTTCTGCTCATTACCCTTCTTCCACCCTCCACCCTCAAGTAGACCTCAGTGCCTCAGTGTCTGTTCCCTTTTTTGTGTTCATGAGTTCTCATCATTTAGCTCCCACTTATAAGTGAAACATGCAGTATTTGGTTTTCTGTTCCTGCGTTAGTTTGCTAAGGATAATGGCCTTCAGCTCCATCCATGTTCCCACAAAGGACATGATCTTGTGCTTTTTTATGCCTACATAGTATTCCATGGTGTATCTGTGCCACATTTTCTTTATCTAGTCTGTCATTGATGGGCATTTCAATTGATTCCATGTCTTTGCTATTCTGAATAGCACTTCAGTGAAGGTGGGTATCTTCTTAGCAACCTATGAGCTTTAGAAACAGCTGTTACTGGAACCATTTAATGGTAGCTATAGGATGACATGATGAGCGTTTCTGGTGACCAAGAGAAAAATGCATAGGAAAAGGGTGTTATAGAGAAAGAACAGGTAGAAATCAGGAGATCAGATAGGAGGTCATTCAGATATTCATTCATGTGCCAGGCAGTGTTCTGGATACATGTGATTAAAACAAGACAAAAATTCCTATCCTTGTGAAGCTTACATTCTAGTGAGGAGACAGGCAATAAAGAAGAAACATAATAAACAAATTGTGTAGTTATGTTAGAAGATGATAACTACTGTGCAAGAGAAAAAGTCAAGCAAGTTAAGGGGGATGGGGAACGTGGATGGTCTGGGCTGGAGTAGGCCTCATTGAGAGATGACATTTGAGCAGAAACTTGAAGGTGAGGAAGTGAGCCATGAGGATGAGGTATGGCTGTAAACATTGAGGTGAGACACGATGAAGACTTGGAGGACTGAGAGAATGGAGAAATGAAATAGCTCCTTAGAGAAACCTTATCAGGGAGAACAGGCTGGATTTAGCAAGGATTGACCATAGAGGTGAGGGAAAATGGGGATGCCCTGATGATGCCTCTCGCTATGTTGCCACCCTTATCCTCTCCACTGGCTCGCTCTTTCTGCTTTCAGACAAGCACAAATCTTCCCCTTTAATTGTCTTTGCCACCTTTTCCAAACACCTTATTTCTCTCTTTTTATAGCCAGATTCCTTTAAAAATGTTGGCTACTCGCAACTCCCATTTCTGGCCTGCCCAATCCTTTGGGAAAAGCATTCCAAGCTGTCTTCTCCCACAACCACTATTCTCTCAGGACACAAGTAATTTCATACTATCCAAATCCAATGGTCTTGTCTCAGTTCTCATCTTCCCAGACTGTGAATTTGAGACCATTGATACTCCCTTTCTGTTGACATAAATGACACTGAACTGGTTGCCAGTTCTGTATCTATTTTTAAACTGTTTGTTACCTTCATAGCCCTTATCTCAGTTTGTAATCACCTATTTAATTATTTACTTCTTTATTTTTTTATTTGCTAGGCAGTAACTCTGTGCCAGCAGAAGTTACATTTTATTTACCACTGTATTTCAAGCATTAGTGGCATACAGCAGGAGCTCAGGAATATAGTCTTCAAATGAGTGAAAATGACAACGTTGAACAAGTTTTCTCTATGGCTCTTCTCGCCTTCTGTGTCCTTGTTTCTTTCCTTTCTGTGTTTCTTCAGTCCTTGTCCTCTCTCCCCTAACAGGGTGCTTTTCCATAAAGCTCAGCCCTTAGTCTTTTGCTGCTTCTTTAGATTAGCTGGAGAGCTTGTCCATGTCTCCAGCTTAACTGAGGCCTTAATTCAGATACCTCTTGGATATGCATCTCCTATCCTGATCCATTTTTGAATCTTAGATTTTTAGAAAGGTTGTTCCAATTTACATTCCTACCATTTTCTTAAATCTTACAAATTTAAGAGGTAAAAATAGCATCTTGTTTTCATGTGCTGCATAGAATGAATTGTTTTCCATGCATTTTTTTGGCACTTTTTCTTTTTTTTGTAAACTGTCTGTTCATGTTCTTTGTACATTTACTGCTGAGATCTTATAATTTTTCTTATATATTTCTATGAGCTCTGTAAATGTCAGTGTCATAACCCTTTTAAATCCATTTACCTACTTCAGTTTATAAACAGGGAAACTGAGACCCAGAGAGATGAAGTGACTTATCCAGGGCCACCTAGTAAGTTAGCACCAGAGATGTAATGAGAACCCAGGTCTCCTGGAGCAGTGTTCCTTCCTGGTTAGCAGGATGCCATTGTGCCCTGGACCCCAGCCATATGTCCCTTTATTTTATTGGACTGTCTCTATGGGTTCTACCATCTGCTTGAATTTAACTCTTTTAAATCAGAATTTAGTGCCTTTTCTTGTATACCTCAAATGGGAATTTTCTCTCAGTATTTGCATTTGAGTTAATGTCCCTAGAGTTTTGTTCTTACATAAACCCATTAAGTGGAAATGTCCAGCAGGAGGTTGGAGATGTGGGATTCAAGCTCAGATGCAAAATTTAGACTGGAAATACTTATTTGGAAGTCATCTGCCAGGAAGTGTTTGCTTGCAATCACCTTAGTAGATGAATTCTCTAAGTAAAAGGAAAGATGAAGGGGCTGAAGAACTGAACCTGGGAGAAAATCTATGCTGGGGAAGTGGGAGGAAGAAGAGGAGCCAGATAAAGAGACTAAGGAAGTGTGGTTAGACAGGACGAGAGTCAGGGCGGTACATGGACATGCAGGCCAAAGACTGTTCTTAGAGGCAGGGGAAATGAGTGTCCTCAAGTGGTCTGGGAAGTTGAGGGCCAACTAGCAAAACGCCTTTGGAGCTGGCAGTGATAAGGCCTCTGTGAGTGGATACCTTTATTATCAAGGAAACCAAAGAGCATGGGGTATCGAGTAAATAGCTGATCAGGCAGTGGAGTTAGGCCTTGTATTCTTAACCTGGTGAGCAGGCATGCTCCATTTTTGCAACACTATATATATGAATATTCTGGGAAAAGTTTTGTCAATCATATCTGATTTCAGAGATGCTGTATTTTTGTTTATGATTGTTTAACAACAACAACAAAACCCCTCTTCTTACAAAGTACTTTCACATCTATGACCTTGTTTGATCTATATAACAGCTCTGGAAAGTAAGTGTAATTTTTTTCCATTTTACAAATGGAAAAACTGAGGCTTGGAGAGTTTAAAGTAACTTGCCCCAGGTTAGACAACCAAATAATAAATGACAAAGCTAAAATGTTCTTATACCATGTTATGCCATCTCCTGAAACCTAAAAATGAATAAAAGGCTAAAATCAAAATGATGATAGGACTGCATTCCTTTCTGGAGGCTCTAGGGGACAATCTGTTTCCTAGACTAGTTGCCTTTTCTAGTTTCTAGAGGCCACCTGCATTCCTTGGCTTGTGATCTCCTTCCTCCATCTTCAAAACTTGCAATGGTAGGTTGAATTCTTCTCACATCTCATCTCTGACCCATCTTTCTGCCTCTTCTTCACTTTTAAGGACTCATGTGACTAGATTGGGCCCACTTGGAAAAGCCAGGCTAATTTCTCCATCTCAGGGTACTTAACCTTAATCACATCTATAGTCTCTTTTGCCATGTAAGGTAACGTAGTCACAGATTCTGAGGATTAGGGCATAGTCATTATTGGGGACCATTGTTGTGTCTACCATATACCATACTCCTCAAATTATGCTATGTGTTTCAGGCTTCTGTGCTCTTGTTCACTCTACTTCTTGTGTTATTCCTGTCTCCTTGAGTTATCGTTATTATTATTATTTTTGTTTTGCAAAAGCCCTTCAAAAAATCTGACAGAAGTGCCAGCGCATCCAGCCCTTGTTGCCTTTGAACTGGGAGTTTAGTCACCAACTAAATTAGCATTGTCTGAGTGTGATGCTTTTCATTCTCAGGGCTCTGCAAGAAGGCTCCTGAGTGAGGTGATGCAGGGACTATGGAGAGATGCTCATTACCAGGGGTCTCCAATTTTCTTTCTTTTTTTTTTTTTTTTTGAGACAGTCTCACTCTGTCAGACAGGCTGGAGTCCGGTGGTGCGATCTTGGCGCACTGAAACCTCCGACTCCTGGGTTCAGGCGATTCTCGTGCCTCAGCCTCCCGATTAGCTGGGATTACAGGCGTGCACCACCATGCCCAGCTAATTTTTGTATTTTTAATAGATATGGGGTTTCACCATGTTGACCAGGCTGTTGTCGAACTCCTGGCCTCATGTGATCTCCCCACCTCAGCCTCCTAATAAGTGCTGGGATTACAGGCGTGAGCCACTGCGCCTGGCTGAGTTATTATTAAGACCAGGATAAGCATTGCCTCTTTCATGGTGTTCCCTGACCCCTTTACCAGCTGAATTGACTCCTCTGCCCTTTTGGCCCTCCTTGGGGTTCCCCCTTCAATACTATCTTAGGACCCGTATAACACCTTTTTGTGTGCATTTGTTTGTTTAGGTGTTGTCCCCTGACTTTCCTAGAGCTCCTTGAATACAGATTAGTCTGGATTTTCCGGGTCTTGTCTTGCTCAACATTCTATCCCAATGCCTATGAGTATTTGGTAATGTTTGGTAAATGAGCAAAAGACTGCTTCCTGCAGGGAATTTGTCTTAACAGTGTGCTGGGATGCAGAAATCCCCTAACCTTAAACCCAGGGAACTTGACCTGGGTCATAAGACCAGCCAGTGGCACTGCTTACTTTAAAACATAAACTTCATGGAGCAAATAATGACTTTTTGCAGATCATTAACTTCCTTGATGTAGCTACTGGCCAACTTATGACCTTGGGGAAAGGTCATGGAGCCTCATCTTTTTCATCTGAATCAGGAGGATGTAGGACTATCTGATCACCAGAGGGAATAGTAGAGGGTTAAAGCGTGGGCTCTGGAGCCAGACTGCTTATATATGAAACCTGGTCTGGCTTCTTGTTGTTTTTCGCAAGTTACCTCGCCTCTCAGTACCTCAGGTATCTTTACCTGTAAAATGGGGAACTATAGCACCTACTTCATAGGGTTGTTCTGAGGATTAAATGAATTAATATATGTAAAGTGGTTAACACAATAGCTGTTATTATGATTATTTTATAATTTTTTTAGGGACAGGGTCTTACTCTATCATCCAGGCTGAGTGCAATGGCGTGATCATAGCTCACTGCAGCCTCGAACTCCTGGGCACACACGATCCTCTTGCCTCAGCCTCCCAGGTAGCTGGGACTGTAGGCATGTGCCACCATACCCAGTCAATTCTTTTATTTATTTATTTATTTAAATTTTTTGTAGAGATAGGGTCTCACTATGTTGCCCAGGCTGATCTCAAACTCCTGCACTCAAGCGATCCTCCTGCCTTGGCCCCCACAAAGTGCTGGGATTACAGGCATGCCACCATGCGCAGCCTGTCATTATTAATGTTATCATGAAATTCCCTTTGTGATCTGAAATTTATGACTCTGCTCTGTTTTTGTCTAGTAGAGGGTTTCCCAGACTCCTTCTCTTTCTTGCCCCAGACTGAATTGCCTTTTTGCTGTTAGTCCTCTTTGGAAATTCTTCCCTCTTGCTGACAAGTCGCATCCCCCACTGGGCTCCTTTACAGCCCTACCTACGCTTCCTGGGCTGGTTTGGCTGGTGTTGACAGAACACTCCTGACCAGTCTGGGCATGGCTCTTGTGGGAGTATCTGAGGGATGTACTGCCCCCTGCAGGCCAAAAGCAGTGACTCCACTGTCCGGACCTGAGAGTTGAAGCTTTCTGTCCTTCGGCCACCTCTCAGGGCCTGTGCTCTTCTGATTTTGGAATACCAAGAATGTGAATAACAGTATCTCAATAGAGCCTTATTGAAGACTTCCTGTGTGCCAGTCCCTAATAACAGAGAAGTATAATGTATTAGGGGTTAAGTGTGCAGGTTCTGGAGGTGGAGTCAGGCTGCTTGTGTTCTAATCCTAGCTTCCACACTTATTAGCTGTGAGACCTTGGGCAAGGTGCCTTACTGAGTTTAGGTTTCTCATTTGTAAAAAGAGATATAATAATGGTATTTAAGTCATTGTTATAAAAATTAAATGAGATAATTCATACAAAGCCTGGAGTGATAAGCAGGAAAAATTCTCAGCAGTGGATAAGAATTAGAAACTTTTCATTTTCTCAGCACCTTTGGATTCATTTCTTTACAGTATAGTTTCATTATTTTGTTTGCAGTTGTGTGATTTTCCTAATCACCTCTATCCATATTCAAATGTCAGTACAAAACCAATTTGAAAGTCAAATGTAAATGTTTTTTATTTAACTGATTCAATTCAGCAAACATTTATGGATTGTCTCTTCTGTGCTAGGCACTATGCTGGGGGGCTGGGAATAGAACTTGGAGTAAGGTACAGGTTCTGCCCTCAACCCGTTTACAGTTTTGAGGATAAGATGGACATTTAAATATTCTAGGCAGAGGGAATGGTATGAGCTAAGGCACAGAAGTAGGAGCAGGCCAGCCAGCATGACCCCAAACAGGGACATGCAAGCTGCTCTCTATGGCTAGAAGTTAGTGTACAGAGGCAAAAGAGTGGGAGGGGTGAAAGTGAGGGGAGGGAGGAAGGAGGGCGACATGGTGACAGGTGAGGCCAAAGAGATTCTAGGTCATCCAGAGTTTTAATGCTATGTTAGAAGTTAATTTGAGGGCCATGGAGAACCATCGGAGGATTTTTATTAAGCGTATGGTATGATCAAATTGTGTTTGAAAAAGGTCATTTTGCCTTCAGTAGAGAGGATGAATTGGAGAGGGCAGGACTGGAGACAGAGATTGGTTAGTGAAGTAATACAGTAGACCTGTGGAGAAGTGATGAGAACCTGAATCAGGGTAGTAAGAGTGGAGAACAGGCGAGGAGGAAGAGTAAAAGATAGAGGGAGAATTAAGGAAGTAGATCTATATGACTTGGAATGGCTGAGTGAACATAAGGTTGAAAGAGACAGTGGATCCTAAAATGGTGGGTGGGTGGTGGTGCCATTCTGTGACCAAAAATGTTGAGTTAGAGGTGTTTGCAGAATAAGCAGGTGGAGATGTCCAGTAGGGGACTGGATATTTGGTCTCGTGCTCAGTGAGAACCTTTGGCTAGGGACACGTAGTTGGGAGTCATCTGCCTGCAGGTAGCTGGACCACAGGAGTGGGCAAGATTACTCAGGGAAGGCAAGTGGAGAAAGAAAAGAGGCCAAGGACCATGCCCTAGCTGGGGTTCACAGATAATTAAAGATTGGGCAAAGGATTAGCAGCCAGCAGAGGAGATAGAGAGGAGAAGAGACTCAGTAACAGGTGCTGTCTCCAAAAGCAATGCAAGAGAATATTTCAGTAAGAAAGCCAGTGTCAGATGCCACAGAGAGGCCAAGTAATGTCAGGATGGAGAAGGACTGCTGGATTCGACCAAGTCAAAGGACTCTCTGTTTGAGGGACTTCTGTATTATTTCTCATACATAAAGCTGGGTCAGCAGTGCGTTTCTTGGAGAGAGAAAAGGTTAAGGTGAGACTCTTATGAAGGGAAGGATCTCTTTTCTGAAAGAAACCTGAATATTGCCCTACTATAACACAGCCCAGGCTGTTAGGTTTGTTGACATGTTGAGCCAGCCCACTAGATTGTGAGCTGAACTGCATGGATACACACAGTCCCACTACTCAGAAGAGACCACCATTAATAATTTTATTGTAAATTCTTTAAGGCTTTTTTCTTTGCATATAAACAAAAATGTTGTTTATATGTATACACATATGTAGTTTTAAAAATAAACATTGACTCACACTATGTGTGCTCTGAGACCTGCTTTTTTCACTAAACTAAAAAAAGTGATCATTTTTCCGGTTACTACATGTAGAGCTATTTTAGTTTAGTGTTTTGTCGGGTTTTTTTTTTTTGAGACCGTCTTGATCTGTCACCCAGGCTGGAGTGCAGTGGTGTGATCTTGGCTCACTGCAACCTCTGCCTCCAAGGTTCAAGCGATTCTCATGCCTCAGCCTCCTGAGTAGCTGGAATTATAGGCATTCACCACCTTGCCCAGCTAATTTTTGTATTTTTAGTAGAGAGAGGGTTTCGCCATGTTGGCCAGGCTGGTCTCAAACTCCTGGCCTCCAGGGTTCCACCCACCTCAGCCTCCCAAAGTGCTGGGGTTACAGACGCTAGCTGCTGCACCCAGCCTATTTTATTTTTTAATGGCTGCAAAGTAGTTATTGTTTAAATGGACTATAATTTATTTAAAAAACAGGACCCTTAATGATGAGCTTGTAGGTTGTTCCTAGCTTTTCACTATCACAAACAATACTGGAATGAATATTTCTGTACATGTGTCTTCTTTGTACACTTTGGCAGGTAAAATGTAGGCTAAATTCCCAGGGCTGTGTTCTCCTCATCTCTGTATCCTCAGCACCAGGCATAAGGTAAATGCCCGGTAAAAGTGTTTAAATGGGCCGGGCTCGGTGGCTCACACCTGTAATCCCAGTACTTTGGGAGGCCAAAGCGGGTGGACCACCTGAGGTCAGGAGTTCGAGACCAGCCTGGCCAACATGGCAAAACCCCGTCTCTACTAAAAATACAAAAATTAGCCAGGCATGGTGGCCACTGCACTCCGGCCTGGGTGACAGAGCAAAACTCCGTCTAAAAAAAAAAAAGTGTTTAAATGCTCTGGATCTAGGTCTGATATCCTGTACGATCTTATTTATCATTTTATTTTTAGCATCTACTACAGTGACCAAGAGCATAAAATCTTGCTTGCTGAATGAATAATCTCAGGGATAAGGAGAACTCCACCTAGAAAAGGAAAGTATCCAGGGGTGCTTTGTGCTTTGTGCATTGGAATGCACTTTCCTAAGCATCGCTAGCTAGGAAGCACCTTTAGACATTTCTAATGAGTGCTCTGCATTCCTCCTCCTCTTCCTCCTTGTGATGAGTGTTGATGTACTCCTTTCCCAGGTCCATAGAAAGGCTAGGTACAAATTCTTGATAAATAATTGGTTAGAGGGAGAAGTTAAAGACTCAATATTATTTTACCCTGTCTTCCCTTCAAAGTTTTATTTTTCAACTCCAGGATTCTCTTCATAGAACCTGTAAAGCAGGGACAATTGCTTGTTTAAGCCCTACATGACTAGTGCCCAGCATAGTATCTAGAGCAAACAGGCCTTCAATAAATGTGTGGAGAATAAAGGAATCAAACAATATTGGGCCATGCAGTTGGCATAATTGGAGAAATTTTCTAAATGTTTTGACCATTTTCTCAAATAAAAATTTTTTTTCTGTTTCCCTTTGTTCAATGATGCCTCTTTCATTATGTATTAAATTCTTATGTACTATGGTCTGTTTGCGACCTTCATTTTTTAAAATTCCCTATCCATTTTCTTTTTTGGTGTTGGTCCATATCATTTTCAATGTTGTTACTTTATAATATGTTCTAATATCTTAGATCTTAGATATGAGGCTAGTTGTGCCTCATAACTCCTCTTTTTCAAAATAGCATTTTATACTCTTGCTCAGTTATATTTGTGTAGAAGTATTTGGTTGTAATCTAATAAAAATAGCCTACTGAGATTTTTGGTTGAGATTACATAAAATCTATAAACTAATTTCTTTTTTGTTTCTTTTCTTAGGCAGGGTCTTGCTCTGTTGCCCAGGCTGGAGTGCAGTGGCATGATCACAGCTCACTATAGCCTTGAACTTTTAGGTTCAAGCCATCCTCCCATCTCAGCCTCCCAAGTAGCTGAGAGTACAGGCATATGTCACCTCACCTGGCTAATTTTTTAATTTTTTGTAGAGATAGAGACTCATTATGTTGCCCAGGCTGGTCTTGAACTCCTGGGCTCAAGTGATCCTCCCATCTTGGCATCGCAAAGTGTTGAGATTATAGGCATGAGCCACTGCACCCAGGCGACTACTTTCTATATTGGCATTTTTGTGCTCATTTTTCCATCTCATAATAAGGTATATTTTCCCTTTATTCCAATCTTCTGTTATGTATTTTAGTAGGAATGTATGTTATTCTTTATATGAGTCTCTCATTCAACCAACCTGCTCTCCTGATTCCCATCTCCTGCCACGATGCTCACTGCTGGAGATACAAAGATGAGCATCCCCTAAGGTTAGGGGATTTCTTGCATAGCTCTTTCTGCAAGAAGCTCAAGTTGGTGAACAAAAGAGATAACTGATCAAATAATTACAACTAACTCTAGTAATTACCATGATAAACAGAAGCGCAAGGTGCTAAGGAAGCAGAGAGCAGGGGTACTGACCAAGACTAGAGATATTAAGGAAGAATTCCTGGAGGAAGGGACCCTTAAATGAGTCTTAAAGGCCGAATGGAAGTTGGCCAGATAACAAGAGAAGTAAGAGTATTTCAGGCAGACAGAATGTTCATTGGGGTGTATGCTCAAAAGTAAAGAGATAAAAAATAAAATGTTTTAAGAGCTGCAAGTAGCTGGAGTATTGGATGACAGTGGATAGTAGCTGGAAATGAAGATAGAAAGTAGGTAGGAGGGTGGCAGATTGTGAAGGGACTTTTATGAAAAGGTAAGAGTGGATATAGCACCAAAGGATTTAAGTGGAGGAGTGAAATGGTCAAATTTATGCTTTAGGAAAAAAGTCCCTAAAAAACAAAACACTAAAAATAAATAAAGGCTATCCTAGCTGCAGTGTGGAAGATGGCATTAAGGGGTACCAAACTTAGCTGGAGAGGTCAATCAGGGTGCCTCCATAGTCAACTGGAGGCAACATGCCCTAAGGCAGGGCAGCGGGGCTAGGGATGGAGGAAAAGGAGGAATCCTGGAGCATTAAGGAAGTGGGCACAAACAGACAGCACAAGTGCTCACACACCCATTCTTGTCCATGCTTTCCAAAGTGCTTTATAGTTTTTACTAGTTTAAACAGGATTTGTTCCCCTGTGGTGTTCTGACTGGCTATTGCTGACTTAAGAAAGCTATTGGTTTTTAAAAATATATCTGTCTTATATTCAACCCATGGAGCAGGATTAAAAAGTTCATTAAAATAAAAAATTAAAAAATATATATGTATCTTATATTCTTCCATTTTTTAAACTTTTAGTTTTAAGTGTTCAGTTGACTTCTTTAGCCTTTCTAGGTATTTATTTTTATCTAAGTACTTTGCATATTGATATTTTTGACCCTTCACCTTTTTTCCATTTTTATTATGAAATTCTCAAACATACACAAAAATAAAGAGAATATTATAACTAACTCTCATATGCCCTTCATCTAGATTCAATAACTATTAAGATTTTGTCCCACTTCATCTTTCCCTTTTTGCTTTTGTGTTGTTGCTGAGGTATTTTAAAGTAGAATCTCAGACCTTTTGTCATTTCAACTCTACATACTTCAGTATGCATCTCTAAAAAATGTGGATATTTTCTCTTGTAATCACAGTGCCATTCTTATTGTGCTTAACAAAGTTTACAATTATTCCATGGTATAATTTAGTATCTAGTGCATATTCATATTCCTTGTTTATCTCAAAATATCTTTTAACAGTTGGTTTGTTCCAACTGGGATTTGAATCACACGTCGCATTTGGTAGTTTGTACTCAAGAGATTCTTTTAATCTACAGCAGTCCCTAACCCTAGCCCCTTTTCAAAAATAAAAACAAACAAAAAACAACAACAAAGAGAAAAATCACTGACTGTGGAAGAAACCATATCTGTTGTCCTGTAGAATGTCCCACATTCAGAATTTGTCTTGTTTCTTCATACTACAATTTAATTTATTCCTCTGTCTCTCCTATTTCCTATGAATTGGAAGTTAGCTTTGAATGACTAACTGGGTTATTGTTCTTTTTCTTTTGGGGAAGAGGATAAGACTACTTCATAGGTTAAGGGTGCGAAGTACTTCTTCTGTTTCTTCTGTCTGACAGTCCCACTCTTAGGGATGCTAACATTGAACAGTGGGTTTAGATGATGACAGCTCATCCCTCCATTATAAATTTCCCCATCAGACTCATTGAATGAGTTCATCCACTGATGATTGTCTCTGAATGAATTATTTCATCAGGGCTACAAAAAAATGTTCTCATTCTGTCAGTCTTTTCACATTTATTAGCTAAATAATATTCCCATAATAACTAGGGCTATTTTGTTGTCTTGAAATACAGTATGTACCCCCTTCCCCCAAAAAACTAGATAAATGCTTAATTCATTTTTTTTAAAGTAATTTTTGGTTAAAGAAGTTACCTTTGTTGTTCTTTTTAAGAATCTATTGATTTTGCTTCTAGTTTATGACTTAATTCATTGGCTAGGCTGCTGGTTCTCCCCCAGTGATTATCTTATTATCTTAGTCCTTGTGAAATGGGTTTCTTTTGCACAAGAGTCTTTACATCCTTGGGTGTGTGAATGACTTTCTCAGTGCCACACGTCAGTCCATCTAGTCCTGCGCTTCTCAGAAGAAGATGTAACAACCTTTCCTTTGGTTTTTCTCTTCCTGTTCCAGGTCACACTGTGAACAAGATGCGTAAACACTCAGATTCAGAAGTGGCTTCTCTTGCCAGAGAAGTTTACACTGAGTGGAAAACTTTCACTGAAAAACATTCAAATAGACCTTCTATTGAAGTTAGAAGTGATCCCAAAACCGAGTCGTTGAGGAAAAATGCTCAGAAATTACTCTCAGAAGCCTTGGAATTAAAGGTAATGCCCTAAATATATACAACTGTTATGTACCCATAATAATTAATTTTTAAAAGAAGAAAAATAAAGGTAATGTCCTGGTCGGATGTGATTAGTAGGTGCTCTTGGTTAAACGCCTCATAATTTCATAATTAAGATTTCATAATCTTAATGCTGTGGCTTTATTTTAACCAGTTATTCTTTAAGGATTCTGGATTTATAAGCATTCCGGGAGACAGTGTTGTAGGAGGCAGGCTTTTGAACTAGCAAGATCTGGGTTGAAACCCTGACATTCTAGTTGTGACACCTTAGGCAGATAGCTTAACGTTTTCTGAGACTTGATTTCTTAATCTGTAAAATGTGGATTGTAAGTCCTACCACTTAAGGTATTAAAAAGGTTAAATGAATCATATATGCAAAAGAATAGTAGTGCCTGCTGATTAGAAGTTATTTAATGGATGTTGGTTACTTCCCATTTAAAATTCCTTCCCTTCTTGCTGAAGTAAAAATTCTGTGATGGACTGTGTTATGGAATATCAATGGTAAAATAAATAGCTGTCTATTGAAAAGACTCAGATCCCCCATTTTTTGTCAACAGCCATATCTTTAGCTTTAAGGCATAAAATCAATTGGATAGACTTGTTCCCTAACACCTTCATGGCTTACAATTCAGATGATGTTAGTGGTTTGAAGTATACATGCTGGAAGAAGGATTTTTGCTCATTAATAATAATATTCATTGTCATCAAACAACAAATCTTATAAGCCGATTAATACTCTGGAAAATAGGACATATAATATTCATGTTTCTTCCTTATCCCAGGATATCCCAGAGCAACTCTGCTAAAGTATCCTTAAAGAACAATTTAATATTAATAAAATAAGCAATTCAGAAGTCTGATTTAAATGCTAGCTCTGTTACTACAGTCTCTAAAAAAAATTTTAGCCTTTCTATCTCAATTTTTTATCTACAAAAGAAGGACTTGTGATATAGTACTTACTTTTTTTAAAATAAAGTTTTGGACCTGAAGTGAATTTGCACCAAAGCAGCAGCTGCATTGCCACAGTTCTGTCTTCACCTTCACCATGTTCCTCTTGGTCAAAAACGCACCAAGTCGTCTCCAAGTTTGAAGCATTCAGCAAACAATGGCAAGGCAGAGCCACCGGAAACGTACACCTGATTTTCATGATAAATATGGTAGTGCTGTATTAGCTAGTGGAACCACTTTCTGTATTGCTATATGGACATAGGTAGCAACACAAATCAGAATAGAATGGAACCTGTCCCCTGTTGGCAGGGTCACCCCAAAGGAATGGAGAGATCAGTAATCATTCCAGCTGGTGTAATAATGAATTGTTTAAAAAACAGCTCGTAGTTGATGCCAAGTTAAAGCACTGTGTACCCATTAAGATATGGCATTATTGAAGAAATAAAGTACATTTGAAACCTTAAAAAACTAAATAAAGTTTTGGGTTTTTAAATACAAACTTCTAATAGAAAATGAGAAAAATGTATAAAAGGGAAAAAAATGTAACCCAGACATAATCTTGTTAACACATTGGCACATTTCCTTTTTTGGTAAATTATTATGGGTTTTTAAATGAATGTTGGGCAAGTTATGATTATCTGAGATTTATATAGAGTGAATTATATGCCAAATGTTCCATAAGATATTTTTATTGATTATTTAAGTAACATTGCAGAATATTGATGTAATTATTTACATTTGTGTTCTCTTGAATCTTGATCAATTTTAGTTAGTGTCATTTTTTATATCCTTTTCTATATATCTTTATTTTTTCATGTTTATAATTTTTAATGACTATTTGATAGTTCAGTGAATTGCTATGCTGGAGGTTCACTTAACTTTTCCTAAAGGAAGCTTTAATATGAGTATTAAACCCTTGGAAGAGAGAACAAAGTATGAAAGTTGTAAGTCTGATTTTCCAGAGTATCGATTAGCCAACAAGATTTATTTTAAATAAAGTTTAGTTTTGAAATAAGTCAAAATTACTGCAGAAACATACAGTGTGGATATATAATACGTAGTTAATGTGGTGGTAAATACCAATTTCCTGTGGTATCTTTTTAAGTAAATGATAATAACAAAGCTATGCTTGTAAGGATTAATGAGCAGTTTGCCTACTGTATTAAACTCCACGATAATTATCCTTTTAGTTTATCCATTAATTATCCTTTAAATGGCACATCAAGTGGTAAGCACTCAAGTGTTATAAAGCAAAGTTAAAAAAGTGATATGTTTGTTAGTGTTTTCCAACATAATTGGAAAAAATATCAGATTAAGCATAGCTGAATGGTTTTGTTCCCAAAGAGTAAATTTAAAAAATTAAAAGTATGCATCTCACTGTCGTCCTTAGCCAAAAAAAAAAAAAATCACTCTGCTTTCCTTGCATAAACAGCATTTGATAGCATGTTTATCAGTTTGTTATGTCAGAGAATATAAATACAAGCACTTTTATATAAGGTTAATTCTTAGCACCTATCATCATCTGAGATATTTCCATATTAGAGCAAATCAATGAACCATCTAATTCAGTATCTGGTCTTTGACAGTAACCAATGTTGAGTGCGTTCAAATCAGACATCAGATCTTCGTAAATGTACTTAATCAGGCAGCAGTAAAGCATTGGGTTTAAGTTATTGGCCCAGTGACTTAAAAGCCTCTACAATTTGATCCTAGCATGTGTTATTGCAAATACCAAATCTTCTCATTACATTTTTGTAGAAAAAAAATGTTTCCATGTTGTTTCACTCATATCCTTTAATAGTGAAAGCCATAGATGAAGAATAATAACGCACAGCCTAAAGGTGCATCTCTTTATTACCCTACAGATCTTGCTTTCTAGATTCATGGATTATTTCCTTGTTCTTGGAATAGTGAAATAGATGAATAAAAACTCCATCGTTGAAACCCAGGCTCCATTCCCCTTTACTTTCTCCCTTCCAGATCTTCTTTGTTCTTCCCCATCTTTTAGATCTTTCCTCATATGAACATCCCCTGTGGTGTCATTCTCTTACTTCCCCTTCCTCATTATCCACTCTCCTTTCCTACCTCACGGCCTGTGATCATTTTCCTATTATGTCATTTAAAAAAATGAACCTGATTCTCAAAGTGAGCCTGTATCATTAAGAGTTATGAAACACTGGCTGGTTGGCTCAGTTGGTTGTCAGATGGTGCTAATGAGATCCAGGTCAGGGGTACGTCCCCATATGGGACTATTAGTTTTTTCTTTGTTTAATGGCCTCAGACTGCACCCCTGGCTTTGACCAGCTCTCTCATTAATGTATTCAAGTGGTCAAAAAGAAGTGTGGGTAGATATGTACAAATTCAATCATGCTATTGGAAAACCCACACAAAGTTTGCTTCCAGTGGCTATTCAATTCAACAGATGTTTAGTAAGGATCTACTTGGTGCTGGGGGAGAAGACAATCATGAATGAGTCGCATTCCCTATCCTAAGAAAGCTTTACTATCTCCTGGCTGATAACCTATAAACGATTAATTAAAATATGAGGCAGTCTGAAGTAATGGTACTAGCAAGTATCAACACATAAAGTGCAGAGCAGTTAAATCTGATGGGGGAATCTGGGAATGTTTCGGAGAAGAGATGGCAGTGGAGCCCGCCTTTGTAAGAGGTGTAGGATTTTGCTAATTAGAACATACACATAAAATAGAAACATATTTTATCTGCTATATATATGATGTTATTAGAAGGCAAGAAAGAAGGGTTACACATGGGAAGGAAGGGCATTCATTTAACAAATATTGGTTGAACATTTACTATGTGCCACTAACCTATGCTAGCTAGGCATGCACAGTTTAGAAATGGATACAACATGGTTTCAACTCTAGCAGTCCTTATAGTCTTCTGAGGAAGACAGACAAATAGATAGTTACAAGACTGTGGGAAGTTCCGCACTTAAGGTAAACGCATGAAGAAGACCCTGTTCCCATGCCCTGAGAGAGCTTATGCATGTGGCAGACATCACTAATTGGTTATGACACCACTTCCCACTGATGAAGGAGCTCAAGGTGGTCATGTTTTATATCTTCCTCCAGCTATAGCTAGTTCATCCAGAATTAGCTGTATAACACACTTAACTCACAGGCACAAACAAATAAGGATTCTGACTCTCTGTCTCTGGGAAATGTGAACTAGGAGATACCAAGAAAACAACAGTGCAAGTGTTGAACAGAAAGGATATTGGAGGAGTTGTGAGGAAGCAGAGCTGTGAGTAGAGAAAAGATGTGTAGCATAGGAGGAGAGAATAAGGCAGTTAGAATTGTTAGTGAGTAAGGCCCATGGAGAAGAGCAAAAACATGTGAGAAAGAGACCAGGCAGCCCGTGAGAGATACAGAGAAAGGATCGATTTCTAAATAAATCCCTAGGTTTCTCCCAGTGTTCCTATCCTCATTCCCATTCATACAAATTATCTCATAGCAAAAGCCCTTTTCTCAAGGACTCGGTGAAACTCTGGTCCTTCCACCCAGAAGGGCTCACCTAAAGCACCAGATTAGGACCCACTGGAAAGGACTCATCAACTTGGGTGGGTTTGGATTACCCAAAGGCACTTACAAGACAGGTATTCTTCACTTTGCAACAAACTTGTTATACATAAGGTACATGATGAATCATTTTCTATTATGATTTTAATGTCACATATTTTTCTCCATTTCTTAATTCTGATTGGTCTTCATTTAACAAGAGGCATGCATGAGAATTGTTAGATGCTTGCCTTCTATTACCACCACACTGCTGGCATAGCACCTGTCATGCTGCCTACCCCCAGGTTCCTACCCACTTCTAGGATGTGAGTTTGTGATGGGCAGGGTTCACATCCTTTCTGTTCTATCTCTCTAAGAGCAGGCTAGACCCAGAGTAGCAATTCAGTTAACTATTTGCTGAATGAAGTATGTGAATTCCAAGATACTCTCAGAGTACTTTTTTTTTTTTTTTTAATACAGGTACTATAATTTGCTGGAGTGGCCATGACTTGTTTTACAAACACATATACCCTTCTTCTTTGATAACGACTCCCCTCAAAAAAAAAAAGACTTTCATGCTAAGTGTATCTCTAACCATCAGTGGAGACTAACCAGCCTCATACCGGGATAAGGAACTTTCTTTCTGGCAAATGCTGCAGGACAAATGCTGGATAGCCAGCTAGCCACCTTTCCAGCTTCCTAAAGTAGTCTGGTGCCAGGCCTGCCTCAGGGGGCTAGTTCAGTGCCCGGAAAGGAAGCCTGGAAAAACTTGGAGTCTGGGTTCTAGAGAACCACAGCGCCAAGTCCACTCACTCCAGCACAAGCCTTGGAAATAATCTGTCTGTCATTAGGACCACAAACTTTTGTGAGCACCTTTTGTCGGCTAGACTAAGGCAGATATCTGGGCCTGGATATTCACTCTCTCTCTCTTTCTTTCTCTCTGTCTCTTTCAGTCCTGTTCTGCTCTTTGCTTGGTCCTTATATCTGACAAGTTTGTTTTTTCTACTTACTTTGGTCCATCTGTCTCTCATGTTAGGACATTTTATTAAATGTCAGGTGACCCCTTTTTATTTGGGGTGTGTTTTTTCTTTTTTTGAACTTTGCTTTTTGCACAGAAGAACAAACATATATGTACAGCTCAGTGAATTTATCACAAAGTAAACACCTATTTCACCTAGCCAGATCCTACTCATGCTCCAGGTCTCAGATTAAACTTCATTTCCTCTTGAAGCCAGGCACTGCCCTCCTGGGTTGGGTTGCTTTGCCATGGCTGTGTTCTCCACAGCGCTGGTTCCTCTCCTTTCTCCTGGTGCACAGGATCCTTACAACCCCTGTTCACAGTCTGTCTGTCCTACTAGACTAGGCTGCCCAAGGGCCCAAGGGCTGAGCCTGCCTTAGTCACTGTTTATTGCTCAGCCCAAGCACAGAGCCTGGCACATAGTGCTGAATAAATGTTTGAATGAGTGGCTAAGGTAGGGAGAGAAAGGTTAAAGGTAAAAAAGGAAGTGAGAGAGAGAAATTTGTCTCCTATTTTCAAGGAATTTTCTACTAGGAGAGACAAACTTAAAATATAGATCATTGGCTGGGTGCAGTGGCTCATGCCTGTAATCTCAGCACTTTGGGAGGCCAAGGTGGGAGGATTGCTTGAGGCCAGGAGTTCAAGACCAGTCTGGGCAACATAGCAAGACCCCATCTCTAAATTTTTTTTTAATTTTAATTAGCGGAGCATGGTGGTGCATGCCTGTAATAATCCTAGCTCTTGAGAGGCTGAAGCCAGAAGATCACTTGAGCCCATGAGTTTGAGCCTGCAGTAAGCTTTGATCACACCACTGCACTCCAGCCCAGGTGACAGAGTGAGACAGTATCTGTAAAATAAAAGTATATACTTCATTTATAATATATGATGATAGTGACTAAGGGAAGCTCAGGGCATGGTGGCAGCCTGAAGAGCTTTCAGTCCTTTGCACTGGGGTCTTTTTGTTTGGTTGTTTTTGCCTCGGCTTTGACATACAAAGAGGAGTGTTTTCCGTAGGGAAAGGTGTGCCTTGCTAAGGGAACATGTGCTGGTGCAGAGGCACAGAGGTGTGTGAAAGTGGTCAAGAGTGGAGTGCTCAGGGCCAGGTGTGGTCAGGATTGGGGAGGGGAATAGCTGAAGATGGGCCTGGAAAGGAGGGTAGGGGCTGGGGGGTCTCGGATCAGCATCCCAACCTACCCTGGATTCAGACCGTGTAGACAAAGTTCCAGATCTCTCCTGCTTTGATTAGGTCTGGGACCTCAAGATGGCTTGGGCCTGAGCCAGACCACCCCAGAATTGCTACAGTTCCCTTCCCTAGACCTGCTCTGCTTAATGGAAACTGTAGGCGTCTCTCCAATCTCAACCATTCTCTCGGAATGTTGAAGGGGCCATTAGTATGGTGAAAGGGAAGAAACATGAACTTTGGAGTCGAGGGGTCCAGGTCACAGTCCCAGCTCTGTCTCTTAGTAATTGTAAGACCTTGAACCTTTGCCTTTGAACCTATTTCCTTATCTGTAAAATGTGATAATAGGAGTTATGAGCATTAAATGTGAAAAGTGATTTTTGAACTGTTCTGTACACATATTAGGATCTAGACCCCATGTCTCTAAAATGCCGTAAGGAGTTAAAAGGCAGTCTAAAAACAAAACAAAAAAAAATATGAACCGTTATACTGATTTATTATTCTTGGTCTTCGTTTCCTGGTTGGTAAAGTACAGGGCCCAGTACCCGTTGCTTAGTTCAGGCCAGTTTCCTGTTATATTACCACCCGGCAGGGGTTGTGAATGAGGTCCCTGTCACAAAGCACATGGCCTTGTTCCTTAATTGCCAGGGTGGAATTAATTTGCTCTTCCTGTTTCTCTTGTGACAGGAAGTAGATGTCCTTGAATTTCAGTTGATTAATGGAGGCCTCTGAGCAGAGTGCTCCAGCCTCTCTTGCTTTTAATCCTTACGCAATGTAAGGCTCTAATTTGATAATTTTGCTGTTTTTTAGATGGATCACCTACTGGTTGAAAATATTGAACGGGAAACGTTTCATCTCTGCTCCCGCCTCATTAATGGGCCGTACCGGCGGACGGTGAGAGCCCTGGTCTTCACATTAAAGCACCGAGCTGAAATCCGGGCTCAGGTGAAGAGCGGCTCGCTGCCAGTCGGCACGTTTGTACAGACCCACAAAAAGTGACCTGAGGACGGTTCCAGCCCTGGGCCAGGCAGAGAGGAAAATGGGCCTGTCTCTGCCGTTCAAAGACGCTTTTGAGTTTGGGTGATGGCTGATGCTGGCTGTGCTAGATTTTCCCATGGTGCCGTTCCTTTGCAGACAGAGGATTCGGAGAGCCCTAGGAGACAGGCCTGCAGGAATGTGCTTCATTAGCTGCAGTGCGCTGGTGCTGCCTAACAGAACGCACACTGGCTGTCACTAGGAAGCGCCATACGGTTGCTATCACCCAACATGGTGAAAGGGTGATGGATTTCACTGTGAATATGCCAAGGACACCTCTAAACTTCCCCCATGTCAGTCAGATGAAGTTACTACTATATTTCACCACCCTGCAGGTAACTGAAACTCAATTACCGCTGCCGCTCACTCGGTTCCATCCCCCTGAGTTTAGATAGCTCTGGTGCCTCTCAGAACTCCCCTGTCTGTTCTCTTTGCTCTATCCCAGGGGTGAGCCTGCGAGAGCCAGCCAACTACCCCTTCTTCCCAGAGCTCACTTATCTGAACGTTTCAGCTCTCCCTGGAAGACCTTCTGCGTTGGTCTCCAGAGCCCCCATGCTGAGGCTACTAATGAGGAACTGGCCCGAAGCCTCCCACACCTCAGGGTTTATTTGAATACGCTGGCGCTCTCAGTTTAGGGCTCTGTAGAAGATACATAATGAAATTTCTCTTGAAATGAATTACTGCAGTAGAAAAAAGTACATACATATATATGTTAAAATGAAATATCTCTACACAGGCCTGTTTTAACAATTACGTAAATAATACTTGTTTTTTTAAAAGTAATAGTAAGCTGGGAACTTTTTTTTCTAAAACAAAAGGTGGAGTTCGTTCACTGAAAAGTGTTTTGAGTTGAGAAGGGGTACAGTTGGTGAAATTTAAAAATGATGGAACAAGGATTTGAGGAATGTAGAAGACTCAAGGAAGTGGGGATTAGATTAGGGGAGACTGGAGCACGTTTGTAATCTGAAAGGAAAGAGCTGGTAGAAGGGGAGAGATTTAAAATCCAAAAAAAAGGAAGATGAGTTGAAAAGCAAGGGGAGAAGGGACGGGACTAACATTATTGCCTACCTTCTAAATACTAGGCACTTTTCCTAAGACAGTTTATTAACCTTTACCTGGATCTTTATATAGTTTTGTAAAAATATTGCTTACTTCTCTCACCCATTGTATTAAGTAGGTATTGTTGTTTTCATTTTTTAGATTTATTCGTTTATTTAGCAACCATTTCCTGAGCATCCATTCTGTGGGGTAGGTGTATACTGAGCAGTAGTTACAAATGGGAGCCTGAGGCTCACTGAACAGAAACATCACCTTCAATTTCCTACTGCTAGTAACTATTGGAGCTAGAATAATAATAATCGAGCGTTTACCCTGGGCCCAGCACTGTGGTAACCATTTTACAAAAAGAAAATACCCAGTTAAACATGAGAAAAGTGAGGCTCAGAAAGGTATAGTAACTTACTCAAGGTCACGCAGATAGTGAATGACAGATCTAAGATTCAAAATCCGGGTCTATTTGATTGTATATGGTTGCCTTGGATGATTTCATCTACTCTCATGTTTTCAAGCATCATTTACATGCTGATGACATTCCAGTTTGTATCGTCAGCCCAGACCTGTCCCCTGACTTTCAGATGATATTTCCTAGATGCCCCATAGACATCTCAGATATAACATGTCTTCTTTCCATTGGCAGTACCAGCAAGCCAGACACTCCAGCTAGGAACTCAAGGAGTCAGCCTAGACCCCACATCTCCCACCCTCAGCCAACCAAGTCCTGGTGGTTTGATTAGGTTGGTGCAAAAGTAATTGTGGTTTTTGCCATTACTTCTAATATATTACTTCTTTGCATTTGCTGTTCCAGTTGCAATGCTCTTTCCCCAGACATCTGCATGTTCTTGTCCTCACTTGCTTTAGGTCTCTCTTTCCCTTATCAAAAAGGCTTTTGCTGACTATCCTAAATACAATAGCACTCCCTCCCAACTATTCTTTAATGCTGTACCTAGCTTTATTTTTCTTCAGAATATTTATTACTCTTTAACATAGTTATTTCTTTATTGTCTATCTCCCCACTCCCAGAATGTAAGCTTCATGAAAGCAGAGTCTCTGTTCTGTTCCCTGTTATATCTCCAGCATCTGGAACAGAGCCTGGGACAAGCTAGGTCTCCATAACTATTTATTGGATAGTTGAGTGACTGGTTGTGGATGTACAGTATAAGCATCTAATTCAATCAGGGAGTGCTTCCTGGAGGAGCTGATACCTGTGTTCAGTCTTAAAGGGCAGGAGTTTGGATAGGGGAATGTTAGTTAATAGAATGAAAATTTCAAAATTAAAGGGCAGGAGTAATTAATTGGGTGGTTGAGATGCATGCCTGGCAGAGCAAGCAGAGTATGGAAAAACCCAGAAGTGGAGATATCTGGAAGGTGATTGGTATGGCTGGAGTAGAGGACACTGGCAGGAGAGTAGCTGGAGATGAGGCAGGAGAGGAAGGCAAGGACCAGGATCAGGTTTGAAGGGTCTTGAGCATCAGGTGAAGGCGTTAGACTGATTTGAAGCAGGAACTGGTCACTTTTGTGTTAATAGGCTATGTGGAAGAGAAGCTGGGGTAGGGAGACAGGAAGTAGCAAGCTTCATGTTTAAAGAACCAAAGAGTTCTGCTAACTTAGGAACCCAGAGTAAGTTGAAAACAAATTGCTCTCTGGCTGAAAGCCTTCAGTGGTGATAGTTGGAAAGTAGAATGATTGCAGAGATGTGCTTTGGAGATTTGGAAAGCAGGCTG